>NC_000013.11:71589924-71741439 GCF_000001405.40 Homo sapiens
ATGCCAGAGAGCAATTCTGTTTAATATGTACATTTTAAACTATACCTACGGGGCTGTAAATATAGTCAGTGTTAAACTTCTACAATTAACTAAAAGAAGTGTTTATGCTAAACATAAATCTTTGAAATGTCCTCTATGGAAATCTAAAGAGGTGAAAATTAATATAAAGAAAACATTACGGCTGTTCTTCAGATTAAAAACATAAAGCATTCTTGGGTTCACAAGCCACACAGCGCACTATAAACATCTCATATCAGTAAGAAAAAGAAAACCTGTTATATAAGCTCACAAAAAATCATTAATATAATTAAACCAAGTCTCTATATCATGAATCTAAGAAGAGGGTCAAAGGAAAACCATTCTTATAGTTTACCACAAAAGTCATACTTATATTGTGTTTTAAATTATTTGGAGAGTACACATATCTTAATAAAGGAAAGCCTTGCTTTGACAAGGTAGATGGGAATTCTTTGCATATTCAACATGTGTTTACTGAACCAAATTTCTCAATTCTGAAGAATTAAAATTTGATGGATAAATACACAATCTGGCCTCACTGGTTGTACTATAGGCTTGAATCTCAGATCTGCCATTTGTTATACAGTTTGAATGAAAGTTGTGAAGGATACATTTTCATATTCACTTTGGAATTAGCCATAGACTAGAAAGCCTTACACAGAGATGTCCCTTACAAAATGTTAGTTGAATGAATGAGATGCATAAGAAAAGTTTAGTAAATATTCCTGCTAGGACTGACATTTTATTTATAAGAATGGGGGAAAAATAGGATATTATCTAACAATAATTTAAAAATCAACAGAGATTTTGAAAATAACTTTTAGTTCATCTTCATTGTCCGCCTTCCTGAGAGCATCATATTGCTTAAAAAGTCATCTACAATTTCCCAGTTTTTCTTTTCTTTTTCTCTCTCTGTCTCTGTCTCTCTCTTTCTTTTTTTTTTTTTTTTTTTTTTTGAGATAGAGTCTGGCTGTCAACCAGGCGGGAGTGCAGGGGCGCCATCTCAGGTCACTGCAGCCTCTGCCTCCCAGGTTCAAGCTATTCTCCCTCCTCTACCTCCCAAGTAGCTGGGATTACAGCCATGCACCACTGTTCCCAGCTAATTTTTGTATTTTTAGTAGAAATGATGTTTCTCCATGTTGGCCAGGCAGGTCTCAAACTCCTGATCTCAAGTGATCCACCTGCCTTAGCCTCCCAACATGCTAGGATTACAGGCATGAGCTGTTGCGACCGGCCTCAATTTCCCAGTTTTTCATTTCAGACTATTTTATTCTCCTTCACACTACTTCCACTGACTATAAGCAATTTTAAAGAAAACTCTAGAATACAACTCACTGTAAATACATGAGGATTTCTAATATAGATTCTAAAAAATCATGAGCTTTTTTTATAATCCATAGATCTACATATCAGTGATTTTCAAACATCTTGGTTTCAGGACTTCTTTATACACATGGATTATAAATAGTTACCACATTAGAAAGGAAAAACTGTTAAAAAATCTTAAATATATATGCAAAAATATGGTAAGAAGCAAAACATTTTGTTTTACACTTTTGCAAAACTCTTTACTAAATGGCTTGAAAGAAGTCACTTAGATTTTGACATCCACTTCTGCATTCACCCTGTTGTGATGAAATGAGTCATGTAGCCTCTGACAAACAACTGTATACTCATGAGGGAATGACAGTTTAAGAGAAGTAAATAATATATTAGTATTATTATGAAATGAGATGTGACTTCTTGGACTCCCTGGAAGTATTTTGGGAACCCTCCCTTCCAGGGGACCTGGAACCACACTTTAAGAAATACTGTAGTATCTGATGACATTTTAAGGTATTTAGAACATCCAGGTTACATTAATTTACTAAATCAAATACTGCCCTAGTATGACTTCAGAAAATAAGAACAAGATTAAAAAGTTACTCTTAACGTTTCTTACACAAAGCCATTGTATCACTGCCATGCCAAACAACAGAATCCAAAAAAAAGCTAGTTAAAACAAAAAAAGGGAGCTTTTTCTCTAGAGTTAATTTTACCTCACAGGGAATAACTACTTATTATTCATTGTGAGGTAGCAGACAAACTACAGAAATTAGTAAAAGTTAGGTGTGGCTGTCCATATTACCTTTGCAGTCTTAAAAATTCTGTGTAATATAGCAACAATCAAAGAGAAGGGCCACATTATCAAATAGATTAGATGATGAGTATAAACAAAGCACCTGCTATATAAATGGCATGAGGAGGAGAAAGAAGTACTTTGAAAATTTTAAAAAGGAGAATTAGGGGCTGAGTGCCATGGCTCATGCCTGTAATCTCAATATTTTTGGAGGCCAAGGTGGGAGAATCACCTAAGCCCAGGAGTTCAAGACCAGGCTGGGCAACAAAAAATAATTAAAACTGCTAGCTGGGCGTGGTGACATCCACCCGTGGTCCCAGCTACTTGAGGTATTGAGGTGGGAGGATCATTTGAGCCCAGGAGGTCGAGGTTGCATTGAGTCATAACCGTGCCACTGCTCTCTAGCCTGGGAGACATAGCAAGACTCTATCTCAAAAAAAAAAAAAAAAAAAAAAAGAAAAGAAAAAAAGAAAAGAAAAAAGAAGAAAAGGAGAATTTACCATGCCAATTTGGAACTTATAATAATTATAGAAAGGAAATTATGACCATTCTTTACAAATATTATGATTTGAGGGGAGCAGATTTCAATACCGAAAAATAGCTAATACAGTATGAGCATTACAAGTAAAAGGGAATACAATTTGAAACTGATATTAAAATTGATAAATTCTGGAAATCCAAGTAGAATGTGACAATCTCAATTTTCACAAGAGAAAAAGCAATCTTCCTCCAATAGTTTCCTTAAATTTCTTAAAGGTAAAGTATTCATCTTCAGTCTTTGAATTGCCTAGACTTAACCCAGTATGGTCCAGAGTAGGCATTCAGTAAACTGGCATTCCAAATAAGGGCAATAAATCATAATTAACATTTATATAATGGTTTCAATTTTAGGAAAATATGAGAATGTAAAAGCACATGTAATTGTTAGGCAGCTGCCTCAGAGTACGGATTTTGACACGAGAATAAAAGTAGTGCATAAGAGCACCTCACCACAGAAAAATAGGAAGAATTAGAGAGTTTTAAATAGAATGCTAGATTGACTAAAGCCAGGAATTGAGCTGGGACAATGTAAAAGGCACTGGGGATTTATTTTTAATTTTATTATTTTTAAGTTAGCAGTTAACAAGAAAGAGAGGAACATCCTTTTATCGAAGATGGTATAAATGTTCAAACCAATGTTTTGTGACTGCTTGTCTTATAATCTGGAGATATTAATACTCTCTGAAAATGATGTTCCAATTGTCTAGATTCTAGAAAGTTAATCAGATCTTTTATGTTCTAACATTTTATGATCATCTGAAAGCTTTTACAGACAATGGATCTAAATTATCTATTATATTAATGATTGAAAGAATAGATGCCAACCCATTTCCAGATGACTTAGCTAATATGTTTTAACTGGTAAATGAAAGCCACACATTCTGGGTAATCAATAATACTCCCAGTGGCATTTTTATTTCTATCAAAATTTCATTTCTAGTTTCCCAGATGTATTCAAAGCAAGCATGAAAATTTAATTTTTAGACTGCAAAATGTCAAATGAATGTTATCCATTTTAAAATTCAAGAAAATGCTGTTGAGTGGGAATATGTAGAAGAAAAAGAAAATAGCAAGATTATGTATGCTTTGAGCTAAAAGTATTCATAATCCTTAACTTAAGAGATTTTAAAGGTCAATAACAATGGAACATTCCCATTTTTCATCATCATTTCCCATGAGGAAGTAAGTAAAATATCTTGAGTGACTATTAATAACTATGAAGAAGAATGAAGAAGTGAAGTTTTGGTTCATATTGAATTTGACTAATAAGTATATTTTCTGAAAATTTAAAATTCTAAATGTTCCTAAATAAATAAAATCTTAAATATTTCAATCAATTAGTTGATTATGATAAGTATAGGTTAACAATATAATTTCCAATTAAAAACCTATATTGACCATTTTAAAAACTAGTTAAAAGATATTAACATAATATAGAAAAACATAAAATGCATATTTTCATAACTTGGTGTTTTAAATAAAATCTAATTAGTAAAGACATAAACATTGAACTTATTTTCAAATGCTGTGTATTAAAATAATCTACTTGAATATGGACATCTCTAATATAAAAAAATTTTTAGAAAGTCTTGGGATTCTATCTGTAAATATATTACAAAGGTATTTTTAAAAGGAAATTGTGTAAAATATATACTTTAGGTAACAAATCTAGGAATATATCATTAATTCTTAATGTTTAAAGAAAGCTATTTAATTTACAAAATAATCACTCTCAAAATGCATTTATTTATAATTGCATGCTCAGAGATTTAGAGAGATATAACTACCTACTAAGGAAACACCATTTTACTTTTATAGATATTTTATTACATCAATGGAAATTTCTCTCTATCCTTCTATGACTAAACTCATAAGCTATAACATAAAAATTACTGTCAACAATGTAGACCAGCCATAAAATTCAATTAAAAATCCCTACATTTTAAGCAGTTATAGTAACATAATGTGTAAACATGAGCTGAAGTGATGTGTAGCTCCTAGAGCATGTCACATTTAGAAAATAAATGTTTTAACTGTTTCATCATCACTTTTTCAGTGCAAAGATTTTTGAGGACTTTTTTTCTCCTTAGGTCTTTCTGGAAACATTAATGTTTTTGTTAAATATCAACAAACCGGCCCCTAGTTCTCTTGGTTGAATCTGTTTTGCAGTATTATTTTTTCATATGTTTCTGTGCCTCAAAACATATGTCTCTTAATTCATTCTTTCAACAAATATTAGTTGTAGGCACTGTTCTAGTTACTAGGATTAGCAATGAGCAAAGTGGACAACAAAGTCCCAGGCCTCACAAGGCTGACATTCTAGTAATTATATACTAGTTAAAATACATGGCATATCAGATTGTGTTAAGGGCTGTGGAGAAAAATAAAACAGGGAAGGAGGATAGGGAGTATCTACATATTGAGGAGACAGGTTGCAATCTAAAATAGGGTTATGTATAAACATCCTTAATAAGAAGGTAGCATTCGAAGGAGGTGAGAGAACAAAATATATGTACGGATCTCTGGATGAAGAGGATCTCAAGAAGATGGCTGGACAATGCATAGACTCTAAGGCAGATGCATTCCTGGGATATTAGAGCAATGTTAAGGAGCCCTGTTTGGCTGGAGGTGAGTTTTGGTGAGAGATGAAGGAAAGGGAATCAGAGTAGAGAAGAATCCAGGAGCCCAATCGTGGAAGGGATTGTAGGTTATTGGAAGGACTTGTATTATTTCACTGATTATGAAATAGGAAGCCTTGGGATAATTATAGGCAGAGAAACTACCTGATTTGACATTTGTATTTAACTAGACTACTCTGGCTACCATCAAAAAGAAGGGAGGAAGCTTGGAACTGAGTTCTGAGACTTTCACGATAATTCCAGCAGGTGATAATGGAGAAGGAAAGAAGTAGGTGGATCTGTGGATATGTTAGATGTATAACAGAGGGAAGAATCAGAGATGGTTCCAAGGTTTTAGGCATGAACAAGTGTCTTAGTTTGTTCAGACTGCTATAAAAAAATTCCCAAAGACTTGTTGGCTTAAACAACAAATATAGATTTCTCACAATTCTGGAAGCTGGAAGTCTGACATTATGGTGCCAATATGTCAGGTTCTAAGAGGAAACTCTTCTGAGTTGCCGACTGCAAACATCTCCTTGTATCCTCTCTGCCCACTCCTTAGGAGAGCACAA
Organism: Homo sapiens; assembly: GCF_000001405.40. Lineage (NCBI taxonomy): Eukaryota > Metazoa > Chordata > Mammalia > Primates > Hominidae > Homo > Homo sapiens. The sequence goes on from NC_000013.11 coordinate 71,595,792, forward strand.
ACCCCATTCATTAGGACTCTACCCTCCTAACCTTATTACTTCCCAAAGTCCCCACCTCTAAATACTATCACATTGAGATTAAGGTTTCAACATGAATGCTGCAGGGACACAAACATGCAGTTTCTAAGTAGAAAAATGAAGTTACCAATAACTGATATGAGAAAAATGAAGAATTAACAGATTTGGGGTAAGAGGTCCAAGAACTTATTTTTTTAGAGACTTTAAAGTGATGTCCCATACTAAACTCCTACTTGAATCACCATTTTGAAGGGTAGGGTCCACAGGTGGGGACACTAACATTCACATATATGTATTTTTTTTTTATTTCTGGAAGAATAAAATGGATAAGTAGATGGCCTCAAATTATGAACTTATTTCATACTTCATTTTTTAGGTTTTCACTGGAAATAGTGTATCTTGAAAATATAAAATAGCTTACTTACTATTCCCTTGTTTTCAGGATTCTTATTCATTAACTGTTTATTCATTTAACTCATTTACTGAGTAACCACTGCATGCCGTGTGAGTCACTACTCCAAATACTGGAAAATACAGAGACGACATGATTCTGCCCTCAAAGCGCTAATAGCCTACTGGAGAGGAAAAGATACCATGGCATTTATACACTTTGGGGATTTTGGAAACAAAGTAGAAATGTCTGGTTTATATACACTGTGTTCATATTTATGGTTTAATACATTGTACTTGTAATAACTGTGCTAGAAATATATATGACTTACAGAAAGCATATAAACAAAGAGATGGATAATGTAAGGAAGACTATTACTGTTTTATGAAAATTCAAGACAATGTCATCACAAAGCCTAACCCTCAAATAGTTAAATTATCTCACCATGTTGTATTAGGGCTACATCTTCATTTGCTACTTTATAGGTACGAACAAAGCACTGTAGGTGAAGAGTGTACTCATGCAAGTGTGGAAGGTCTCCACAGAAAACAGAACACTGGAAATGTAGGTTAATGAGGGGAAAATTACATTTTTGGCAGACAAACAGCAATTTGAATTTATAGAAGCATAAATCCTATATTCAAAATTTGTGGGCAAATAGGTATATAGCTAGGACTTTCAAGGAGAGGTTGAAGACTTGGAGGGGGCATAAAAGAAGTGTGCAACAAATAGCCTAAGATGACTCAGGTGGCCAATATATATTGCATGTAAATTTAATATTAATTTCCATTCCAAAAGATTTAATTAAATATAAGTCTAAATCAAGCTGAAAGAAAACTGGTATTTGAAGTGATAAATGTCACTCAAGCCAGTCACTTCAAATTTATTCAATGGTTTACTTCTAAGAATTGGTATAATAAGCTATGATTTTTGTGATGTAGCGTGAATTGAGGGTTTTTCTGAGCTAGAACCTCATGACATTTATTTGAGGTCAAATTGTCTATTATAAAATAACACTAGGTCACTATAAGAGTAGATTTTAAGTGTTCTTACAACAAGAAAATGTTAAACATGTGAATTAATGCATACGTAAGCTGGCTTAACTTGGCCATTGCACAATGTACACATATTTCAACACATCATTCTGTACACAATAAGTATACATAATTTTTTTAAATTTAAACATAATAGAAATGAAAAACAAATAAAACAGCTGTACATGTGTTTTTACACAGTAGTGTTATACAGTACCTACCATTTGGCCCAAGGGCTTAAATGCACACAATTTATTTCCCAGTAAAGACAAACATTGTTGGAAAAGTCCTCTACTGAAACCCCTTCTCTACCTCCCTCAGTGTGATTTCACCATGGGGCTCTCATCAGTGCACCCTGGGGTTGTCTCCAGACTCTGGCATCCAATCAGAATTCAAATCAGTGGCCTTGGGGAATTGATTTGGTCTCTCAGTGCCTCAGTTCCCTACTAGGTCAAAAGATGATCATCACTGTCCCTACCTTCCTGTTACATTGTGTTGAGTCACACAAGTAAAATACAGCATCTTGTCCCTAGTAAGTGCTCAAAAAATTGGAGGCCCTATTATTAACAAGAGGATAATTGTTTTGTTGAAAGAAAGGCAGGCCGGGCAGGGTGGCACATGCCTGTAGTCCCAGCACTCTGGAAGGCTGAGGTGGGCATATCGCTTGAGCCCAGGAGTTCCAGAGTAGCCTGGGCAACATGGTGAAACCACATTTCTACCAAAAAGGAAAAAAAATATGGGAGGCTGAGGTGGGAGGATTGCTTGAGCCTGGGAGGCAGAGGTTACAGTGAGCCCAGAGGGCTCCTCTCCACTCCAGTCTGGGCAACAGAGCAAGACCCTGTCAAAAAAAAAAAAAATAGGCAGAAATAAGATAGGAAAAAAAGAGAAATAAAATTAAACCCTTTATATTAAGATGCACTAGCTATAATTTTGTTTCATTGGACCACAGTAATGGGACCTGGAAAACCCTAAAACTGAAGACACAGTATAAATATTTTGATAAATGTTGCAATTTAAAATTTATTGATGCTTTTTTTTGAGATGGAGTCTAGCTCTGTTGCCCACCCTGGAGTGCAGTGGCGCAATCTCAGCTCACTGCCACCTCTGCCTCACAGGTTCACACGATTCCTCTGCCTCAGCCTCCTGAGTAGCTGGGATTACAGCCATGCGCCACCACGCCCGGCTAATTTTTGTATTTTTAGTAGAGACGGGGTTTCACCATGTTGGTCAGGCTGGTCTCGAACTCCTGACCCCATGATCCACCCACCTCAGCCTCCCAAAGTGCTGGGATTACAGGCGTGAGCCACTGCGCCCGGCCTGACGCTTATTTTTTGATTCTATACACTCTTTTGTGATGTAGAAAATGTATATAAACCACTCATGATTTACATCATAAATTTTCCCCTAAAATAATGCCCAATTGGGCCATGATTGAGTTGCCAGTACTCAAAAGCCTATTTAAACCACTCTGTATTCGAAAATTTATATTTGCAGCCCTCTTTCAAATTGAACTATCATTTATCACATATTCAAAATAGAAAACCTATTTAATAGTTCTACTTGCAAGTCAACAGACTCTCCCTCGGCGATGGTGAAAATTATGTGGGAAAGATACTCTTGGGCACCAGAAATCTGGTGATTTTCCACATTTGCAAAGGAGCATAATCTTAGCAAAACTTTACCCTAGTTATTTTTATATTTTGTTTATTCTCAAATCAGGGTCAGCTCTAACTTTTTTAAAGTGTCTAGGTCTTAGAGTTCTTCTTATATTTGGATAAATCTCTTATTTATATAAGGGTATAGCTCTAAACATGTCATTTTTCTAAACCACAAAACTTTACTATAAAAACTAAAGATAAAATAAGTCAAACCATGATAAAATTATTATAATTTTAAGCCTCATGCTGATGATATAAATAAAAAGACATTTGAGCATTCATCTAAAAAATGAGTTTTAACAGAATGATGGGACTGCACTATTCACATGTTTTAAATAATTTAATACTACTTCAGAAAAAATTGCTGAAATTCTCTGACCCAAAATTAAAGGCAAGTTTTAGCTAAATCAAATGAATTAGGAGTAAAATTTCATTAAATGTAATGTAATTCAGGTATTAAAGAGGTTTATGAATTATACAACCTGAACAATGGAAATGCTGTTAAACAATTCCTGGGCTTTCAGGGGTAGAAAAATGGCATCCTCTTCCCTTGTTCTGAACAGAACCAACAGGCAAAAGTTTTGTATCTAATTTACTTATATGCCATCTTCAGGGTTTTAAGAGAGACACTCAAAGCTATATTGTCCACTTCTTGAATTGGAACTGTAGAGCAGGAAAAGTCAATTAATACACATCTCTCCACCTGTATCTTGTTTTATATGCACATAATAAAATTGACTTTAATTCCCCTGAATGATAAACCTCCTTACTTTCTGTATTTACACTATTTTGAATCAGTAACCTTATTAACATGGGAAATGGTCAATAACCCTCTCATTGATTTCATACTAATTATGCTAATGTTAATTTTTTTTACATGTATATAAAAAGACTTTCCTTTTTGTATTACCTCTTCATACACACAAACACATTTCTACACACACACACACACACACACACACGCACACACATAAGATAATTTAGAGGACACAGATATAATGTGAGATGCCTCTGAATAATGAAGATACAAAATAACTGATATGAGAAAGCAGAATAAATGTCTTTACCATAATTTTCAGTCTTAGTATCAAATCATAGTCCCTGGTATTAAGGAATAGGGCCAAAAAAATCATATGGCAATATCTGAATGTCTTAATCAGTTATTTGAAACTCACAGAAAGAGGAACTATAATTGTTTATCACCAAATACAACTAAAATATTCAGATATGCTTGATCAATATAACCAATAGGAAAGACACTCTGATGTAGAAAGATCATAGATTTAGAAATCAAAATTAGTAGATGCAAATCCTTCGAAAGACAGTAGCTTGCCCAAGGCAAGACAACTTTCAAGTTCTTGGCTCCTTTCTTTAAAATACTGCAAAGCATAAACAAAAGTTATATTCATTCAGAAATAATGGCCACATAAGTAAGCCACTACTACTGGCTGGACTAAAACTTGGATTAAAAAGTTTTTCTAGTTTTTCACACTATATATGCCCAAATCCTGAGATATAGGTGGATATATTTAACTAAATAAAGTCTTTCCATATAATTTGATTTACCTGTCCTTATAACTACAATGATTATATGTTATATCCTTATAATATATATCATGTGCATATATACAAGTATACATGCATATTTATATAATTATAAAAGAAGGATCCAGGAAATCATTTTATATATAAAATAGCCAGAAAATAAGCACAATAAAAATCAAGGATCCACTACAGTTTTATTCAAACACCTAAAGGACTCTCACATTGTGAATGGCTGTTATGCATAATTTACATAAATTCTTTCTAACAGTCAAAGTTATCCACAGATAGACTGGTATAATGGACATGTGATAACTAATGGTTTTCAAGTTTATATTTTAAAAAAGTATATAAAGAGGACTCAATCATCAAAAGGTAATTAGACTAGAATTAAGTCATTCTCAAAACTGACTTTTCATTAGAATCACCTGAAACAAATAAAAAATTCAATACATTGCCCTCACCCTTAGAGATTATACTTTTGTTGGTTCGGTGTAACTCCAGTTATTTTTTTTTTTAATCTCTCCAGAAGATTCTAAGAACTAGTTCAATCATATGGTCTCTTTCAATTCAGGTTCCATAATTCCGGAAAAAAAAATGCCACTTAAATATTCATATCTGTGCCAAAGTAGGATTTGCTTTTTATTCTCTATCTATCTAACAAAGATAAAAGAAAACCAAATAATTAATAGGCGAATAACGCAGTGTTCTTTGGTGGCATTTGTCTTCTGGAAATGGTTTATTTACATGTGTCCTTGCACCTCTTCGATCTCTTTCTCCGCCTGAAGCAAGCTGGACAAGAACATCTGGAGTTCACAGGAATATGGCAAAATCTCCCAGATATTATCAGTGGGATTAATATATTTAAACTTGCTATTTATATGAAAAATATACTCTTATATTACAGAAATATTCGTCCCTTTTTCTTCAACAGGAAAACATGTAGTGGAAAAAATATTTTTTATAATATTTATGAAACTGTCTTCAACGCATCACTACATAGTAATTTATGACTTTTTCTTGCTTTCTGTTCTTTTATTTGCCTTGTATTGTTCTAGTTAATATGAATTTTATGCTTCAGATATAGAGTGAAGTAGAATACATTTCTGTATTCTTACTTATTCTGTGCTATTGGAGGAACACCTGTAGGAACAAAATCTCTGCCCGTCTTTTTTCTAAACAAAACAAAAACAAAAACTTATACTTTGTTTTAAAGATTTCTGAGGACTTTTTTTCTGATTGAAATAAAGTAAATGTCAGTACTCTATTATCAGGTCAAAATGTTTTACAGTTTGTAGTCTAAAAGTAAAAGATGAGAATAATTACATTTCACATTTTTGAAACTAATGTAACCACTGATCATATAGCATATTTTAAAATAGTACAATAACCCATGTTATGGGTTGCCAGAATATGCTATTTCAACATTTGACTCTTGTACATATTTTATATATATTATGCAATATTCTTTTATGTAATTTGTGTAATGCTAAACAATGAGGCATGAGTGAGCTAGATATTTTCATACAGTAAACAGTTACAAATTTAATAAACATTCAATAGTATGCATTGAATACCCTTGGCTCATGCAAATATATTGACTAATTGTTAATTGAAGGCACAGTAAAATCAGAATATCAGGCTATGGATACCTGACCAGCTGGCTACATTGAGCTAATTTGACTCTATAAATATGGCACTATCAAAAAATATGTTTTACATTCTGGAAAGCAACACAAAATTTCCTGTATATTTTCAACATTTCCTTTAATAATTAAATTTTATTTTGTGTATCCAAGCATGCACAGTTCTTAAAGTGTTTTCTAAGTAAATATAAAATAAACTGCATAATTGCAAGTCACTAAATTATTTAGTCAAATAGAAAACATTGTTAGAAGGAAAATCTGTGTGTGTTTTCTTTAATTACAATAAACCATATCTAATTTTAACTGCCTCCTTTTTTTCTTAATAATGAGTTGACCTTCTATTCTCCTTAACCCTTTTTTATCAAAGCCATCTACACCCACTTTGCCTTCTGTTTCTCTAATCTGCAATTATTTATGTTTTCTTCATGCTGCTTTGTCCGCCATGGGAGCAAAATTGTATTTGGTGAAATATAGAGCTAATTATACCATGAACCCAGCAACAAAAAGACAGAGCAGATGTTACTTCAGACGTGCTAAAAGTCCTCATGCTTAATGTGCATCTAGTAAAACACTGAGCAGAGTCGTCAAAAACAATATCTAATCAAGGCTGTTTTAGACATGCAAATCTTTTTAACACCACAGTTAAATGGAGAAATTCTGTCAATAATATTTTCAGTACTCACCATGTGCATGCCAGAATAATTATATTAGGTAGTGATTTCTAATTAATATAATAAATGTGTGAGTCCACATCGTTACTATCCCAGGGGGAGAGAAATCTAGGGAGGCAGAAATGGAGATCATATGCTGTGAGTTAATAATACAATACACAATGTTTTCATTGAGAATGTGTTTCTGTGATGCCAACATAAGCTACTTGAATATTTTTAACTAGTAAAATACACTTTATTCAATTACGTTGCTTTCTTTTTATTCACAGAGAACCACTTAAATTAACTATTTAATTGGCTATTGAAGTAATAAAATTAAGATCAGTTTCTCTGTTTAATAATTTTTGTCTACAATTTGGTAGTGACATACAGAATGTAACGGTCACCACAATCGTTGCTTTTTTGTTTGTTTTGGAAAAATTGAATTTTTTTGACATATTGGATTAAAATCAATATTACTTTTCATGAAGAAACTGGTTTCCCCCATTAGGACATGTATACCAATGGTGGATTACTCCAGGAAAATACCAAAATGCTTCTCATGCTGTGTACAGACTAAAAACAATCGCAACTATCCTAGTTTAAAGTCACTGTAAGAGGGCAGTATTTTAATGACATACTTTCTACTCAAAGAAGTGTGCCTACACCACAGGTTGTAAAGCCCCTTCTGAGATCTAAAACTTAGTGTGTTCAGTACACCAAACCTCCCTCCTGGTGAGTGTTAAATGTGTGCATTGAGTGGCTGGGCTGTGCATCACTTTCAGTGTTTATTTTAGGAAAATAAACCACCTCTCTGCAGAGTTGTGATAGCATAGCTAAAAAAATTCCACCATATTCAGAGGTGTATAACTTGTTTTCTTTTCTGTGTCACATGAAACGATAAAATAGTGTCTAGTTTATACAAATAACGAATTTTAAAATATTATATGTTGGCCAGTTTTAAATGGGATAGATACTCCAACAAATAATATTTTATATAAATTACCTATCAAGAAAAATAGATATATATGTGGGATACATTACATTAGTTGAAAATTTATGCTTTAATTAACCTAAATTTTGTATGTGATACCGATATTATGCTCCATGTAAATAAAATTATGAACATTACAAGTTATTGTTTCTTTATTACAAAGGAGAATAAAGGCCTATTTGTATTTTCAAAAGGGAATGTCAGGGTAACTTTGATAATATTGAAGTTTTCATCAATGCTGAATATAACTGTTGTGAAGATATATCTAATTAGTCTCCTAGTTTATGCCATTATGTCACATTGTGGGGGGCTTGATGGGATACATTCACAAAATTTGACTTATACAATGAAAGCATTTTTTCAAAACTCTACAAATAAAGTTTACTGATGTCATATTTAATGAATAATAAAATGCAATATAAAAATCACTTCATGTAATTTCACAAACTTCAGTGATTATTGATATTTTCAAATCCTATTTTCCAATTAGTTAATTTTTCATTTATCTCATACTTTAAAATGTGCTTTAAAACCTAAGCACATATTTACTATAAAAATACTTACTGAATCAATAAACATCAAATCAAGTGATTAAGTAAAAATGAACTAAGTATCCTAACAGATAAATAAAAACAGACAAGCTAAATTTTTCAACTTTCCACAGTGGAACTTCACTACTTTGATATTCAATAGACCAACAGAAGAACCACTCCAGATGGACGACTGATTATAACTCATCCAATACCATTACCATGCACTCAGAAGAATGGACAATTTCTCATGAAACCAAACCGTTAAATGTTACTTTTCCAAGGTAGAAATTACGGCTTTATAAGCTTCCAATAATATGGTCTTTTTAGGAATTAAAACTAATGAAGGTGACATAACTGAAACAAAAATATAAAAACGTATTTTAACTGAGCTCAACTCTCAGTATCTAAATGGAAGTTATCTCAGCCAATAGATGAACAGAGTAAAACTAGACACCTTAGAGAACCCAGGTGTCACATGGCAATGGAGCAATTTCTCATTTATCTCCTCCTGCATCAAAAGCATTATCTTATCAGCTCTAGCATCATATTCTGCTAATAAATCAAAACAAAGGGACTTTCAAAGGATCTCTCTTGCATATCAGTAATTTAATCAAAATAGCAAACAGGGAACTAAAACACCTCCTTTGGTCTCATTTAGTTTACATGTAAACCGAAACACTTCTCTTGGTCTCAGTTGTTTTTATTCCCCCATTGACAAAGTGGTCTATAAATGTATACATGCATAAGCAATATTTATGCAAAATGGCTTGAATTTCAAAATCACTATAGATGCAGTTCACTTTAAGAAAATGCATTATATTAAAATATTTTCTAAGTAGTGGATTCCCTTAAAGCTTGATTAGATAAAACTCTTGATTTACATAAAACATTTCAGGAAAAATCCATAAAGATGACTATGCCTGTATACTAAAAGAATCTAATGTTTTACATGTTTAATATATTTAGTTCACTGAATCAATAATTACATTTTTTAAATATTAAACTTACACTACTCAACATATTCTTCATATCGGGAATATATTCTTAGCTTGAACGATACAACTAATGTATTGTAATATGATATTATATTTGAAAGAAACAAATGAAATAACATGATGTTATTTTTAATATCAAAAGATATGTTCGAGTATGACAAACTTCTATTTATGAAATCACAATAAGATCACTTGGTTTAGTGTGAATAATATACCAAGTTTTAATGAAATAAAATTTAAATAACATAATGAATGAATATACTAAATGTGATAAAATAATGCTTCACAGTGTGAATATTTATAATTGATTACTTTTCATATAATAAAACATGTATGCTTATATCATTTTTAAGCTTTTATCAAAGAATGTTTTCAACAAAAACATTGGCTCACAGCAATTCATTAAAAGAGAAATATTTTATGATATTGTGAAAAATGAAAGATTCTTCCTCTTCAATAAGTCTTACTTTTATTATGAAAATAAAAATATTATAATGTCCTTTTTCTTTCCCCATGCAGAGTCTAGAAAATATGAATTTACAACCACAGAGAAGTGAAGACAGTCTCCCAGATTCTCACCCCGTGTAATTGAAAGTGATTGTTGAACATTGCTGATGAAGACAAAACGCTATGTAATAAACTGAATAATAACTTAGACTCAGTAGGGACTGTGGATGACTTCATTGTGTTTGGTGGCACTTTGCAGCTATCATGTGTTGAACTGGCAGAGTGACTCACCTATCTCACTGAAGCTACACTGTTGTGATACAGTGATCAACAATGGTGTTTCAAATTGGCACTCACTTTTTCTGCTAATCTACTAGAGTACTATTTTTCTGCTAGTACTGTAATAAATGATATTCTAGACTTGCAGTAATGTTTAATACATCACCTTCATTATGCTGCTTAACTATATATTGAATGTATACACACATCTACATCTATTTACAAATATTTTATATAGAGAGGAGAAACAGAATAAAATTGAATGTAAACAATATTTTGTTTAAGCTGTCCATTTTAACACCCTGTTTATTATGTTTCTTACATGATAAGAATTCTTTCTAAATCAGTTTGATAACTGTCAGTTCAATGAATTCACATTTATGAAAAAATATTAGTAGATGTTCATCTTAAAATTATTCTAAGGAAATAAAGAATCTACAATAGAACTATTTTCAAGGATTTCAGAATCTAAAATAGAAGTATTAAATGATTACTGGTATGACAGATATAAAAAATCTTCCTGATAGTTTGAATACAAAGGTATCAGGAGGTAGAATGAGTGTTGAATTTATGTTGTGGAAAATTGGTCCCAAGTTGGTTTTCCACTTCATCAGAAAGCACTTTTCTCTTGTATGCAAACAGTTAATGAAGCATGCCAACACTGAATTGTTTTAACTAGTGTGAGAAATACTTCACCTTTTTCCTCTCTATTTCTTTTGGGAAGTTTTAATATGAACATAGTGAGACACCCTAAATGTTAGATCCCTAACAGGTAGAATGAGGGAATAAAATAGCTATTCATGATTTAAATATTTTCATTTTCATTTATGAATTATTCTCTAGTGAAAGGTAGCAAAAGATCCATCAATTCTGCTGCACTGTAATAAATGTATGATGAGAATGATCTAGTCATTACATTTTCATCCAGAAGCCTACCTTTAGTTTGAGCATTTTGAAGTAGTGAGCCTTTTGATTTAGTTTTTAAAGCCTCTGGCAGGTGGCAAAATTTTGTTCCAACAACACTCATGTGATTGGGAACAAAGGAATTCTTTCAAAAGGTTTGTGGTTTTACCTTTATTCCACTTTCAAAGAAAATGGGATGATCATTTCTTTCATATTAAAATTAAAATAAACATAAGGGACAGGAAAAACTACACATTACAGGATATAATTGCACTTTAAAAAAGAGCTTTTCATAGATTTATTCAGGCTACATTTTATATTTGTAATAACAAGGTGTTCACCTGCATAACTTTTTACAATATGATAATTTAATCCTTACGTTGCATTTCTTCTATTTGATATTTAAAAATTCCTGTTTTAAATTCATGTATACAGGCTTATTATTGTTTTGTATAAAACATTCTACCTTATATGCTATGATCTCAATAAAGACAGTTAGATTGTACAGGTACTAAGCCATGTAACAATTCTAAAATTTTTTTTCAAAGTAACTCAAGGAAATGCATTTCTGATATCGCTGTTACATGGAAAAAAGTAAGTCTTTTAAAAATACTGTGTTAAATGGGCATGACTTTCAAAGCCAAGTGTACCTCTAATCATCAGCAAATGTGAATAAGAATTGTCTCTTAGGAGCTTGTTTATTTGTGTTTTATTTATTGTTTCCCCTTAAAGACCAGTGTGATAGTAGTCTTTGTGTTTTAATACCACCAGGAAAAATTCTCTGGATGAAAGTGACTACTAAGTTATGGTAAACTTATTTCACTGAGCATATACAAAGATTATCATGAGCAACAGCACACATGTTCCTGTTTCTGGGCTGGGACTTTGTGGAGTGTTTAAAACGTGATAAATTGAAAGATACCAACAAAATTCAGACTGCCTGTCAGCTGTATCAGTTTCAAAGGAACAGTGTCATAAAAAATAAAAGTTTTTAAACAATGAGAAATTTTGAAAGTTACTGCATTTATTCCCTCAGTTTAGGAATGAAGATACTGATGCCCAGAACGCTTAAGTGATATGTATTAATTCACAATCATGATACTCTGTAACAATTTCCATATTAATGAGAAAGATGTAGATTATGAATTAGGCATATTAGTAATAGAGATTACAATGTGTATATATATATATATATAAAATGGGTAAGATACACATCCTCATGAATTTATCCTTAAGAGAGATAATGCTGAATTTGCAAGTGAATCTCTTGCAAAACATTTTTATATACACATCAGAAAAATACTTTTTCTGAACAGTATGTATATTATCATGGATATAGATTTAAACCATGTGGGTAATAATAACATCCAGCATACATATAAACAAATCCACTTACAAAAGACTAATACACATTAAAATTCGTTTCTTCTATGAAAACTATTAACAAGATGTTATTATGTCCATCATGTACCCATTACAAAAGAGAAAATGAATATGTTGGTTTGTTAAGAACATAAGTAGTGTATAAAATAGCATGGATAAAACCTCTGAGCTTCTGACCTTACTAGACTATCATACCAATAGTCTGGTGAAGGTTTCACTCTATATTAGACTTTTAGACAGTATTTATTACCATATGGCTACCAGAAATTCTTAAAAATAAACTTTACTCTCAAGTCCTCAAATATCAATAGATTAACACATCATATTCTGAATGTCTCAACTTATATCAACAGTGAATAATATTCCAAATTTGGAATATGGTATATCTGTTCACTTATAATTAATCCTAAAACTAAATTATTCTAGAATTAATAAGGACTGAAGTATAATGATTCTTCAAAAGGAAAAATGTATGGGCTTGAGTATGGCAAATTCATTCTGTTTTTTATAATAATTATTTCATGCTCTGTGCCAATAGGAGAATAGGAGCTTTTGCAAACTTTACATGCACTGGCCATAACGAATTTCCTGAGTATATACTATAGAATACATGGGCATAGTTTGAGGATATAAAGATAATTGTACCTCTCCTTATGAAGACATGGCATAACTGAGGAAGATAAAACAGGAACTCTACCCAACATGCAAATGGACAAAAGATACATGAATTGATATTTTTGGTTTGTTTGCTTTCTTTTGCTTTGTTCTAAGCCATGAAAGGAGAAAAGTAATAATCCTTCCTTTAAAGCAAGTATAATTTTATAATAAATATATTAAGCAACATCAACAATAGTATAAAATTTATTCTAAACCACCAATAAATATGATAGATTAATATGAAGTTTATTATTATGTGCCTAGTTCTAGAGAACTATGGAGACTAAAAAATATACATAGAAAAAAAAATCCACATCATCCATATCTCTAGTCCAGAAAACAGATCTTTCTCTTTTTGTGACCATACGAAGTCACCGTTGCAATTTATTTTAGTTCATACATATAAACACACAAACATCCGCGTGTGTTTCACAATGATATGTGGATAAGAATATTAAGAATATATGTTGATGTTTTCCTGGTGCTGTGTACATACTATAAACAGGAAACCATGCTTCTTTAGTCTAGATTGAAGACTGAATGAATCAGACTTATGAAATATTAGTCATTTGTTTTAGTAAACACAACTAGTTAAAAAGTTAAAACCCTTAGAAGTTGACTTTTTTTTTTTCTTTGAGATGGAGTTTTGCTCTTGTAGCCCAGGCGCGATCTTGGCTCACTACAACCTCCACTCCCCAGGTTCAAGTGATTCTCCTGCCTCAGCCTCCTGAGTACCTGGGATTACACGTGCTCACCAACACGCCCGGCTAACTTTGTATATTTTTAGTAGAGATGAGATTTCACCATGTTGGTCAGGCTGGTCTCGAACTCCAGACCTCAGGTGATCCACCCGCCTCAGCCTCCCAAAGTGCTGGGATTACAGGCGTGAGCCACTGCGCCCAGCCAGAAGTTGACTTTTTATCTTGATAAATATAAAAAATTTTATTATTAAAAACCCATTCTGGATGGTAGTCAGTAAAAAAAGGAAACATTCTCATTTTTAAAAATATACTTACAGAAACCCTCAAAGGACATCATATATCAGGGAGAAATGAGACATAGTCTTTATAAATTTGAAATGAAGAACCTAATATTCAACTTTGTTCTAAAGTATGGCCAGTTCATTAAGATAAGATACAAAACTGTAAAATAAAAGAGGCAAACTACACTGATAGAAAAAAAAAATGTTCTTGTTTGCAGTGGATGTGGTCATCTTCCTAGAATTTCCAAGTGGGAAAGATGATGCTGGACAACATAATTAGGTTCTATGAACCACTAAATAGAACTAGAATATAATATCTATCTGATCTGATATTAAATGAGAACTGGACACTAAAACAGGGATATCTGTATGTTTTATAGAGCATTGTACAAAAATGTTTATATTCGCTTTACTGAACAGAATTCTACTGTCATACAGAATATGAAAGTTACGATGGTCGTGACTATTTCATTCAAAGTGATGTTTCTACCCCTCGTTCAAGCAAAGAAGTGGGAAAATCTAGTTTTTGTTTTGTTTTGTTTTTAGTAATTTCCTACTATTATATATGAGAACAAACTACAAAGCATCTCATAATTGCCAAGCATAAATCTTAAAGAGAGAGCATCTGCATAAATCACAGAGACATACATATGCACATACATAGGCACTGGCAAAGATTCAATACATTAACATAACACAAAAACATATCATATGAGTATAATAATAATTTCACCAGAATTTTTCCATATATACATTTTCTACATTGATTAGAAATATTCTGAAGTTTTTTGTTGTTTGACATCTCTTTAAGCTTGGTGTTTGGGGTGCAAAGAGTTTACTAACACTTAGTAAACAAGAAGAAAAAGGATCTTAAAAGATCTCTCAACTGTTTCTAGAACTTCTAGTGTTAAATCTACCTAGACAAAGCATACTAAGAAGTGTCTCATGCAGATAAATCTTTGGGGAAGTTTTTAATTCTGAAATATTTTATACGGGCTAATGTATTTTTCTGATCATTTGTTTAACCTAAAATAGGAGAGCAATCTAACCTGATAATCACTCTTGTCTCTCTCTCTGACATTTGAGCCCCATACACACAAAGCATATCACAGTCAGAATGAGATTATGATGCAATGATCTCGTTGTGAACGTTGCATTATGGCTCAGGCAGTGTATAAGCAGTCCCTCGGCACTTGTGCTTACAGCAATTTGAATTTCTCTGGTAGCTCAGTATGATTTATGGCATAATTCAGACTTTCTCTTCATCAAGGGAGAACACTGTCAAGTTCATGAGAGTTTTGAAACTAAGATAAAGAAGGGAAAGGAGAGCATTTGGAATAAACAGGAATTTGCGGTTTGTTATAATTTTAGATTTTAAAACTGAATTGGTTGCAAAATTATCTTTGACAGTTGTATTCAATATCATCTTGTGTACTGAATTAAAAAAATGGTGTTTACTAATGAATCGTCCATGGACTTATTCAGCCTTCAATTCACATGCAAAACACCTGTTTGAAGAATAAGTGTTAAGGCTTTAGTATTAATAGCGGAATAGATCTTCAACAGGGATTCATGTAAAATTCTGCTGTTTATCTTTTTTGAAACTTCTGTTCTGGCAAACAGGTGGTTTCTTATACCTTCCGTATTTCATTTCCTCATGCACAGCTGTGTTAGAAAATGTTTGATTTTATGAACCACATGCCAGACTTGGCAATATTTTTATAAAGGGCAGGAAAAAGCAAATTGTATTGCTTCATTTATTTTTTCTATACCAGCAATGTAAATTTTCAGATTTAATATTACATGCTTTTTTCGTAGTCAACTTTTGTAATATAAGCAGCTATTTCTCCAGAAATATGGACAATGGTATGAATTCATCTCTAAATTCACATGCAAAATAAAACACTGCTGATGAAAGCTTTTTTGCCTCCTTTTTATTATTATTCATAAAATTCCCAAGATGTGCATGGTGTTTTATAGAGCAAATAAAAAGACAAGGTCCCTGCCACAAAGGGTTTATAGTATAATCCAATACTATGTAAAAGAGCTCAGATACAGAGAATACATATTATTTGAGGGACAATCGTATGAGGATGAATAAAAAGGTATTAAACAAGGATATAACATCACAAAAGATATTTTTGTTGTTATAAGTTTAGGGGAATTTGTTGGGCAAGGGTAAGAACATGGAAAGTGATACATAACAAAGTTGATAGCATACCGATCCAAATTTTATTTTACATTCTCCATAGTGTTATGAGTTATGGCCACAGAAATCTCAACGCTGTATATATATTATGCTCCTGAAATGCTATAGTAGAATCCTTTCTCCTCACTCCATAATATGGAGGTTAATTTGAGTGACTTAAAGATACCAATTCCTTATGTTATATTATATTATACAATAATGTAATTATATAAACTGAGAACTTTCCATTCCAAACGGCTGTAATCAACCAAATTAATACAGTAAGACACAAAATGTTTACCTTATGTCATCAAGGTCAACAAGATGGATGCTGGCAAAACTAAACTAGAACTCAAATTTCTAGATTTCTAATTTAATGTTCTTAAAAAAAAAGATTAGACCTTATTTTCCCTACCTAATAACCTGGAGTAAACACCAAAGTGGGAGTCCAAACAGTAGACCCTGCCTTCATTACACGACCTTAAAAGTCACATAATGTCAAGCAAAAAACGATCTTCTCTGGGATTCAAGTTACTCATCTGTAAAGTGGAAATGCCAACAATATTAACGTTTTATGTTCCAGATTAAATGAAAAGAATAAGTAAATGTAGACGTGCATTGTACAAGAAAATGAGATTATAACACCCTACATAGTAAAACTCTGGAATGCTGACATTGAGCAAAATGCAGCTTAAAATGAAGGAAATATTCTATTGGAAAAGCATCTAGAGGAATTCCATGAATAAGACAGCCTGTAGTAACAAAAATAATGTATACAAAAGCATTCCTGCTTAGTGAGTACTCATTCATTAAGAATTCATTCAGGACTATTTGTTGAATAATTGACTGATAGTGCATGCCAGTCAATGTGGCCAGGCCTGCCCTGCCCTCAGCAAGCTGATGGTCTCAGGAAGGACGATGGTTATGAAGCAAACAGGCTTGCAAATAAAGATGTTATTATAGATTGTGCAAAGTGCAACAGAAAGAACAGGGTGATATAGGATGGAGCAGACTTGAAGAACTGATTTTAATTTTAGCATTCGAGGAAAGACATTTAAGCAGAGACTGGAAAATGAGTAGGAATTCCAAAATTTAAGAACAAAGAGAACAGAGATCCACTGGCCAGTTTTTAAGAACATCTGCAGAAAGAAAGGACGTAGTCTGTTTGAGAAACTGGAGAAATGCCAGTGTGGCAGGAAGAATGAAAAGGGGAAGAATAACCCAAGAGTTTTGAGAGAGGAGGTGAGGAGCATTCCACTTTATGCAGAGTCTTTTCAGGCTATGTTAAGGAAGTTGAATTTTATTATCAGTGCAATGAAACGCCATTGAAAGATTTTTTAAAAGGAAATCTTATGAATGAATTTATGCCTCATAATCATCACTGTAGCTGTTGCAAGGCGAGAGGATTTAAAAAGACAAGGAGTGAAAACAGGAAGTCTGGTTAAGGTTACTGCAGTGGCCAACGTGGGGAGTGCTGATAATTTGAGTTATCGCACTGGCAATGGATGCAGTGCAAAGAGGAATTTGAATCCTAGATATGGTTTGGAGGAAGAATAAACAGATTACACATGTTAAGGATGAAACCTAATTTTCTAGATTGACTGTCTGAGGTTGTTGTGGGCTTTTGTGGTTGTTTTTGAGAGAGGGTCTCCCTCTGTCACCCAGTCTGGAGTGCAGTGGTGTGATCATGGCTCACTGCTGCAGCCTGGACCTCCTGGGCTCACACAATTCTATCTCGACCTCCCGAGTTGCTGGGACCACAGGTGTGTGCCACCATGCCCAGCTAATTTTTGTATTTTTTATAGAGATGGGATTTCACCATGTTGCCCAGGCTGGGCTCCTGCCTTGGCTTCCAAAAAGTACCGGGATTACAGACATGAGCCACCACGCCCAGCATCTGAGTTTGTTTGTTTGTTCGTTTGTTTTCTTAAAGATTGCTATGTACTGAGCTTAAGGAAGACTGACCAAAGTCAGAGTCCATGCAGAGGCATAAGATTGTATTTATTTATAATCCATTTTGCCTGGAACTATATGAAGGTTCTTGTTATGCATCTTTTAATGAAGAGAATGGTTTAAATCATCATGGAGGGGAGAGTATATTACCACTAACTATAGAATTTAACCATTGGACTGCATAATTTTATGCAGAATGAAAACGAGGAGAATTCCATTGGTTTTGTCTATCCAGAATTCACGGGTAGTTGACCTGCTTTCATACACATTAATCCAATAAATATTATTATTCTGCAAGAGTAGTTTCAAGAGAATGGATGTAGGAATGGATAACACAGAAACTATTTACAGAATCCTGAGAAATAGCTTAACTTGATATAATGTCCAAGAAATTATGCACATGGAGGAAAAAAAACCCAAATTTCAGTTACTATTAAACACACATATATGATGGGGAAAAGTGACACCAAGGCTAAGGATAAACATTAAGACATCATTAATATAAAAATGCCAAAACTAGGGCAGCTCATGCCTGGCAATGGTTTGTGCCAGTAATCCTAGCACTTTGGGAGGCCAAGGCAGGAGGATCACTTGAGCCCAGGGGTCCCAGATCATCCTGGGGAACACAGTGAGACTCCATCTCTACAAAAAATAAAAACATTAGCCAGGTGTGATGGTGCATGCCTGTAGTCCCAGCTACTCTGGAGGCTAAGGCAGGAGGATTACTTGAGCTCAGCAGGTCAAAGTTGCAGTGAGCCGTGATTGCACCATTGCACCCCAGCCTGGGTGACAAACTAAAACTCTATCTCAAAAAAAAAAAAAAAAAAAAGCCACAAATGTAACAAAATCCTCTCCAAATACAAGAAATCATTTGAATCTATCAGTTTTTTTTTTAAAAAAAGATAACTAAGTCTTCTGAAGATAACGTATAAGTAAGGTATCTGTTTCTAACTAAAATCATGTAACATAAATCATAAAAGTAAATGTAAAAATTTCCATATTTATATCCCAGGAAATAATCAAAATTTATATTTTAAGATTATCCCATGTTTATGGTAAACCTAAAGAAGCTGTAAAACTTAAACTATAAAAGCTTATGTTCTATTGTTGTAGGCCTACATGTAAAGAAGTCATTATTTAATGTTAAAGTATAAATAAAATACAACTTCTATTTAAAAGTGTCAAACTTCTTTTCAATTCATAAGTGTAGAAATAATTTAAACCATTTTTAGGCGTTATTTTATCTATCAATAGTAATTAACACAGTCTTAATCTGGCTAATGTTAATGACCACTGTTCTTCGGTAAATCCCAGTTAAACCAAGCTTATTAAGGGCTAATTAAAGGAAGTCTTATGTGCACTGAATAAAGTAATGTCTGTGTTTAGAGCTGGAGTACATATTTTGTCTGATAACATAAAATGAGACAAAACTTTTCAATTAAAGTTTACTGGCTGATTATTGATTTATTTTTAAAAATATGCAGATGAAATAACTGACAACTTTCCTCTTCCTGTGTGCCCGTACTTTTTAAAAAGTGTAGCAATGTAATCTGAATCTTGTAGCATATTTCCTGAGCTTGACACAGGCTCAGAGACTGCAGTAAATAATCCATAAGACACTCTTTGGATAAATATTCAGTCATGATCAACTAATGAAGATCTTGGATAAGAAATGAATGTTGAGGGCATGTAGAGGAGGCAATATTCTATATGATTTGAACTAACATTGAGACTCTGGGAATACTGGAAAGTCTTAGCTTTTTAGAAGACATCTATGAATGTTCATGTGTGTGTGTGTATGTACACCTTTATTATTTTACTTCTATTACCTACTTAAGAAATTTTAGAATAGTGATTGCAGTGTATCAAGCAGTGTTCAGAGAACTAATTTAACCCAAATAATCCCCAAAGAGCCCTATGTAATATTTCAAATTGTTATACCTATTATACAGATGAGGAAACTGAGATTCATAGAGGCTAAGTAAGAAGGCAAAAATGTCCTAACAATGGCAAAAACAAACAAACAAACAAAAAAGTCATGTTTTACACCAAAACCACATGGCACCAGATTTTGTATTTTTAATGCTGAACCACAAACATTCTGTTGTTTCCCAATTTTCACTTCCATGTTTTGGCTCTCTCTCTCCTCCCCCTTACTTCCAAAGATTGCTTTGGGGAGACTAGAGGTAGATATTACAGAGTATTAAGAAACTGGAGCTGTGTGAGGATGAACAGAAAAGGAAATGATGCATGCATGAACAGCTGGAGGCATGAAGGACAGGTATGCATGCATCTTGGAATTTTAGGTCAAACCTGTCTATACTGGAACAGTATTGTAGCCTAAGAAATGAAAGTTATGTCCAATTTCATTATGTGCAGGAGTTTTTGCTTATTTTGTTTTTCTCTAAATGAGAAAAGAAGATCAGGTGTGGTGGCTCACATCAGTAATCCCAACAATTTGGGAGTCCAAGAGGGGAGGATCGTTTGAGGCCAGGAGTTCCAGGCTAACCTGGGCAACAATGTCTCTACAAGAAAAAGAAAAATAGCCAGGTGTGGTGGCATATGCCTGTAGTCTTATTTACTTGGGAGGCTGAGGCAGGAGGATCATGTGAGCCCAGGGGTTGAGGCTGCAGTGAACTATGGTTCCTGCCACTGCACTCCAGCCTGAATGACAGAGTGAGATCCTGTCTCTAAAATGAACAAATGAGAAAAGAATAGGGTATTGGATTCAGAATAGTGTAAAAGTGGGAATATCTATATATATACATAGAAAGAGAGAGAGAGAGAGAATTATGACATTTAAATATTTGTTTCTAATGCAGTTTCGGGGTTCAATTTTTTTTTTTTTTTTTCTGAGATGGAGTTTCGCTCTTGTTGCCCAGGCTGGAGTGCAATGGCGCGATCTTGGCTCACTGCAACCTCCACCTCCCAGGTTCAAGTGATTCTCCTGCCTCAGCCTCCCGAGTAGCTGGGATTACAGGTGCCCACCATCACGCCCGGCTTTATTAGAGACAGGGTTTCACCATGCTGGCCAGGCTGATCTCGAACTCCAGACCTCAGGTGATCTACCTGCCTCGGCTTCCCAAAGTGCTGGGATTACAGGCTTGAGCCACTCTGCCCAGCAGGGTCAAATTTTTTTACAAAACATGTGAATTTGGTATTGAGGGACATTTGCATGCAGACCTATTTCTTAGAACTCATGCTGGATTATAGATGGTTTTGACAAATTAGGGAATACTGTCTACTGTATTACCTGTTTTTATCAATTTATTTCTTTTTTATTAATTGTTTTTGTCACCTTTATTTCTCAACATTCATGATTTACAGCCAACTAATCAGAATTCCTGGTTATTGACTAAATGTAATACTGCCTGCACTGCATGAGTTTATGATACAGAAATTTCAAACCACAAATCACTCCAGATTCCTGGAGGAATAAGTAGATGTTATACAATTATGCTGCAGTCTTCATCTCAAAAAAGAAATGCTTATGAATAAGTGATTCATTCTGGCTGAACATACTTTGAAATATCACATTATTGCCCTGAATCACACCTGTGAAAAAGCAAATAGGCTAAAACCAAAGACCCGGAAGAATAAAATAGTTAACAACATTTACAACTACTCTATGACCTCTTTCAAAGAAACACCACATTACAAAATTAATATTAGAAAGTACAGATATAAATAAAGCTTGTATATTCATTTTCTGTGTAAATTGAGCTCTTTTCACTCACGGACGTAGGCTTGGCATCAATCATGGGGCTATATATTCAAAAGCAATCAATAAAAAAAGTACAGGAACTGACAAACAACTAGTCAACAGAATCATTTTTAAAAAAAATACTTAGCAGTAGCCTTTTAAAATAATTTCTGCGTTCAATGTTACTTGTTTTGGTCTGCTCACTTGTTAAAATAAAATGGATGTCATATCCATTAACATTTTAGCTGGCTGTGGAAGTTTTTCACACCTACAGTCAACCGTAAGTGACTATGATATTAATATATCTAAAATGCATCCTCTTTTTGTCAGCTTTACTAAACAAGGTTTGGAAGGGCAAGGAGGAAATAAAATATGTAATTTCACAAAATATAAAGATATACCCCTTGCTCATCCATAACTTTCTTGTTCAGAATTTTTCCCTGGTTGGAAAAAGTGAAGCCATTTCTTATATTGAAGTGATCATTTTGAGAATTTATGTCTTTAAAAAGATAACATCTGTGTGGGGGGTTCAATATCAACATGGATTAAGCCAATTATAGGACACATCTTTCTTAGTTGATAGAAAAACTCAGAAACTGCTGAGTTATGCTTTGTGGTAAACATTTTGGAATGTTGCCAAAGCTGTTATAAACATTTCTGAGCTCACTTTTCCAGGGAACTCTTTTAAAAATCAATTAGAAGTTAAAGTCTTTCAATGCTAGTGTTTCAAAATGTCAAGCTTGTATTACTTTTTTCCTTGTTGTGCATCAATGGCAATATTTCAAAACCTGCATATTAAATTGATTATATTCTATAATTAAGCTATTAAATGAAGTAGAATGTGCAAGTGTACTAAAATCCACACTACAGCAGAATTAGGGTTTTTTTTTAAGAAAAATAAACCTAATTACATAAAAACTGGGGAAGGCACGAGGTAAAAATAATGTATAAATGACTGCTCAGATTTTATTTTAAAAGCCTACTCAAGTATAATTGTTGATTTTAAAAAATACTTTTTAATATTACAGGTCAATGGGTTAAAATAATAAATGCTTTATTGATGATCCCTGAATCAGGAATTTTAGAAAGTATTCTAGGGACAATGGCAGAGGATCAATTATGTGTCTAAATTTACAAAACCAAGGTCTATTCAATAATTTACTGCACTTAAGATTACAATGTATTTATATTTAAAATACATAAGATGAATGCACATGAATACCTTATATGCATTTTTTTTTGCATAGGTGTGAATACATATTTAAATGTTTTCTAGAAAGGCTATATTGTCAAAATTTTTAAAGGTAGTGCTGAAAACATTTTATGCACTAAAAATAATCTAATTCTGTTTTATATATATATGTGTGTATATATATATATGGTGACATATAAATTTATATATTTTAGAAAAAGTAAGATCTAAATCTGTAACTATAAAAAAGTATGCTCCCTTACTCAACAAATGAACCACAAATGTACTGCAGAGAGCAAAGGATTAAAATTCCTCATGTATGTGTAACAAACACATTGATATTAATTGGTTTGTCCTTTCAAGTTGTGTTTATCTCTTCATTTCCATCACAGTTTCAAAGGTCACTCTGTTCCATTTATAAATCCAATATGACAGAGATTAGTAAAAGCAAAAAGCAACAACTAAATGAGTACATCATCATGCAATCACACATCTCACAATTCATTTATCCAATTAATAAAAAATACCATCAAATGCTTCATGGTGGGTTTTTTCAAAGCATCAAATGGTTCATGTCAAGATAACTTAATCGTCAACATTTAGGTTCAACAGCAGAGTAAATGTAGAGAAATTGAAATTGTACTTCAGTGAAAAGACAGTAGATATATCTATATTTTCCCAAAATAAAATAATTAAGAAAACAGATTACAAAAATGAATATATTCAGTAAATTCAGTTTATATTTGTATTAAGTTAATGAGAGATTCTTGGAAGCTGAAATGTAGGAGGGATTCAATTATGTGGGGTTTGTGTATGAGTGTCTAGCTAAGTTATGTAATTGCTAAGGTCATATATTATCAAGTAAGGATTCTAAACAATAGAAAACAGTGCCAATATGTACTAATAGAAATAGGAAATTGTATAATATTTACACTCATTTTGATACATGTATTTTAATATATTCTAGACGATAGCTTTTTCTCTTGATATAGACATAGGCTTGGACAGTGGCAGGTATGTGAAAGTACCAGAAGAAACTAAACATGTGCCTGTGTGTGTTTTTAAAACTGGTAACTGTAGGAGGCTGAGATTCAGATTGCTAAAGAAAATAATTTACAAACTAATTTGACCACCTTGATAAGATGTTTAACTTTAATATTTTTATGTAAAGTGAATATCAGACTTATATTATCTGATAGACCCATTGTTTTAATAAGGCCATTTCCAAAAATATAGTTAGGATATGCAAATGTGAAGCATGAGCGAGCAAAAACAGAAAGATACAAGCAAAAGCAAGATAATCTAGAAGTCCTTGTGACACAAGTTCAGCACTTAAACTATAGAGAGATGAAGAAACACTAAACTATTTCCAAAAAGCAGACTAAAACACATAGAACTGATTAACAGATTATTTATAAATAATAAAGACTATTTCTCCCAAAAACAAACATGAGTAAAATGAAAACTATTGAAATTGATTTTGAAAATCTATCTTTTTTTTCCCCTCAGCTCTATTATATGGATCTGTCTTCTGAACATAATAGGGTCATAGAATCTGAAAGCAGAAGAAAATTTCTAAGGCCACTGGATTTTCAAGTAGGCTTGTCACTCAGATGGCATACTGCCTGAGTATAAATTATTAATCAGCACATTATATTAAATAATGTCATAACACTTTTACATTTGTTTATTAATTTACATATACTTACATAATTTTGTGTGTTCAGTGTGATGTTTTGAACTTCAGCTATCATTTTAAGTTAAATATGCTTTCTGAAAAAAATCTAAGTAAAGATATAAATATTAAATGTTTTATGAGGATGATGATGTCTTTCTCAGATATCTTAAAATGTAGTATCTTCCAGTATGAAACATATATTTTCTCCAAAGATCATAATCTATACTGATGTAGAAGTAAAATCATAGATGAATTATTTATTTTTTTTAAAGTTTTACTTAGAAAAGTGAAACATTTTCCTGAGAATTCCTGAAATGCTGCAATTATAGATGAACTCAATTGATAAAAAGACTTAAATATGTGCCATAAAGCCATGCATGAGGTAGATAAAAATGCAAAGTACACATTTTCTTATAATTTTTAAACTTTTAAACACACATATGTTATCTATGTGCATATATATGTTGTATATATTACATATATAATGTATATAACTGGACACACAAACACACACACACACTTCTTTGTCGCTATGCAGCTATTACTCCCAGCCTACAAATGACCCCAAGGAAGTAAGTACACTACACTTTTTGGCCGAACAATTTATCAACAGCTTGAAGTGACAGGAATGGTGATTCAATCCTGCATCCCCACATATCAGATATAGGCCACATTCTTTAGTCTGCAGAACCAAAAAGGGAAAAAGTCCCTGTCGCATTTGCCCTTTCATAGAGATGGAAATATTATTAGAAAGGACATAAACAGACTAATTAAATCACAGCAGTATGGCTGGGATGACAGCTGGTACAGCGTGTGACTGAGAAGATCCATATCTGTGAGCAGGAGGTACTTCACTTCCAATCCATTCGCTATTAGGTGCTTTCAAGCTTGCTGTGCAGACATTAAATAATAACATATCATTTCCAAGACTAAAACGATGTAAAGAAATAAAAAAGGCTTTCTAACCAAGAAATCTTTTGTGCAACATAGAAAAAAATCATTTACCACTCAGTTCTGCTTTTGAGATAAAGATGTAATAATGCCATTACCTTTCATCAGCAGGATCCTTGAAAATCAACACTCTTTGCTTATCATGCTGTGAAATACAAATAGAGCTAAAGGCATGGTCTGCGAGGCACTGCTGCAGCGATATTAACTAACAGATCTGCCCTTTGTGAAGGAAACCGTATCCGTTTCATTAGTGCAGACTCTAATTCAAAACTGTTGAAAATGAACTGCACATACTGTTTTAATAACAACATTCCTAATCATTATCAAACTGGTAATTCTCTCAGCACTGAATGTAAGGGTCTGTGTTTCCATTATGACCTGCTGTTAAAGAAAACCATATTTAAATCCTCCGTTCTTTCCTATCTTCCAAATTATCTGGGTTCATTTAGTGGGGATGGGGCATAAAGAGCACGCAAAACTATGTGTGCTACATTATTTCATCTTAATGAATTGACATTTTTAGACATTTATGTCAACTACTATATTATTTATTTATTATCGCTTAGTTTCACTATTTTATATTAGATTTCACATGTCATGATTGATACAAATGGTTTTGTATAATTTGGGAATATTTGTACAACTGAGAGATGAATCACGGTCACGTGAATGTGAAATACTAGGTCTGGTGACAGGTGCATTGGGCTCAGAGTTATAAGCTTGTGTGCACACATTCAAAACAATATTGGACTACAAACACCCTAGTAAAATCTCTAAACATATATTTTTAATATCAAGACATTATGAGATATTTAAAAATATGTATTAGCAAACATTATATTTTATAAAACAAAGTTAAATATTTATTTTAATCCCTCATCATCAATCATATGAAATTCAAATATAAAACAATCGAGTATCATATTAATGAAGAAAAAAAGAATTGTCTGATCTTAAACAAATTGAATATGACCTGGGGTTATTTTACACTGAAATATGTGGTTTCTTTTTACTTTCTTTACAAACTTTACGTAAACAGTATAGCATGTTTTTGTAGGTTGATAATTACCATTTCCAGGACTTTCCATGATGAAAACATATTCATCCTCCTGGAATGTAATGGAGTCTACCACATAACATATTCATTAGGATATATCCTATATATATGATACATCCTATATACATCCTTATATTTTATAATTACATGAGGATATAGTGTCAAATAAAATCACTTAACTTTTATTTCCTAATATGATATGCTTGAATTAACAGGTTTACTCTATTATCTAGTCATTAGTTAGAATTAGCAATATTGAAATCAAAACAAAAACATTGCATAATATTTTTGAATTATGTTCTCCAACTGTCCATATAAGTAAAAAAAAGTTTTCATGAAGTGGAATAGACATCACATTCAAAAATAAAAATATTTTCTGCCTTCTGCTTATCTGCATCAAAAATACATTTAATAGTTTATATAGGAAACTAGTACATGTTATAAATCATGCTGTAATGATTTTATTACATATAGAAATGGATTTAAGAATATGTGTTCAAATATTTCAAAGTGAAAAATGATTTTTTTAATATAGAAATGTATTTTTCCACAGTCACCTGTTGCCATCATTAATGTTTCTATTCCTTTACATGAACAATAAAGATCAAAAACAAATTATGAGAGAAAATGCAGAATAATGCTATCCAATTTCTAGAAAATAATGAAAAAGAGCTTCATAAAATGATCAGTTATTAATATACTCATATGACATTTTAAAATAATCTAATTTAAGCTATATTTTTTAATATTCATAATTTTTCCACAATAACATAGCAATGTTAACTCTTATTTAGCCTCTTCCAAACCCTAATGAAAAGGATACATAGTACCAAGGTAGAAAAAGTGGCATCATCCTTTTTTTATATTCAAAATAAATACTGTCAATACTTATCCATCATATAATGCTTGCATAATATGTAAATAGATGTTATAGTATACTTAAGGATGCCTTGTTTTGGAACATGTGGTTACTTCTGATTTTTTATTTTAAAAATTACTGTCAAAAATATCTTTTTGCCCTTTATCTTTTATTGAGGTTTCAAAAATCAAAGAATTTTAGAGCCAACAGAGAAATTAGGCAAAAATTCCTTATTTATTAAATAAAAAAGACGAGCAGTTAAGTGACTTATCTAAGTAGTTAAGTTATTTATTAACTACATTATTACTGGAAGCTAAATCTTCTGACTTATTTTGCTCTCTGCTCCCCTACCTGAGTTTTTGGCTGTGTCTAGAAGGACTTACTTGGTCACACAATAACATATTCACATTTTACACAATGATGTTTTGATAATCTTGTATTAAATTAGCCATTTATCCTTTAGATTTTCACATTAGACTCTAATTCAAAGCTGTTGAAAGTGAAGTGCACATACTGTTTTAATAACAACATTCCTAATCATTGTCAAACTGGTAATTCTCTATCTTGTTTAAAATACATAATGAAGAAAAATTGCCATAAATAGTAAATATTTAAAAATGCATTTAAATTGATGGAATAGTAGCTTAGTACATTTTTTGTCTTTTATTATTGGGGTAAGCAATTTTGTGTAAAAATTTCAGGATATGAAGATATCTTTTGCATAGGGGATGATATTAACCATATGGCCTATTCTTAATCAATTGAATTACAAACCATGGTGGTTCCTATACTTTTAAGAGATGCTTATGTGGTCTTCCATTAAAATATCCACTAATGGGACATTTGTGAAAAGATTTATATTTGAACATACTTTCTTGACCACATGTGAAGCTACAGAGAGCAAATTCATTAATTAAACTACTTATATATTAATTGACAGCTATCAGTTCTAAAATATTTCTCATTTCATGTGTCAGAATCTTTCTGGACTTTTAGGGTAGTCTTGTATATGCTCCACGTTTACAAGACTGGCTGTTAATATTGTTAAGTTTTACTCACCAGGCAGGAAGAAAGATCTTAAAAATCATTGTTAGGCAGAAAAACATTCTAGTTACCAAAACAAACAAACAAACAAACAAAAAAACTTTCTACATTTAATCTGTTAAACAATAGCAAATTTCTTGTGAATCAGTGATACTGTAATTGAACTGGAGACATTTTTAGAGCAAGCTTGCTTTGGCTTTTTCACCCTCCGATTTGGAATCTGCTCACAGTACTGCCAGCTTAACCAAAAAGGATTAACTCTCATATCCAACTGAGAACACAGATAATTCTCAGTAATTGGTAAAAAATGAAGATGAATGGGGCTGAGAGATAAGGAGCAATTAGCTCATCAGCAGTTACAGCTGTGCACTCAATCCGGCTCCATCTCTTGAGTCTCGGCCCCTTTTAAAGAACCTAAGCAGAATAAGCATAGGACACCCCCTCCCTGAAAAAATTGCTATACCTGCCCATCATTTCTCTAGTCTTCCATTTTATTTCCTTACTATACAAAGACACCTGTCATAGCATGCTATGTAAATTACTACCTCTCTCAGGACCTATGTCTAAAGCCAATCTTCTTTTTAAACTTTTTTTTTATAACAGAAACCAAATGACTACTGTAGACACTCTTAAATTCCCTGTCAATCGTTTCATTATAGCAGCATCATCTGTTTGAAAATATAAGCAATTCCCTCATCTAATTATAGGAAGGATTTGAGGTTCATTAACATTGCCAAGGCAGAGAATCCAATGTGCAATTGCAGAGCTCTGCTTGGTGGCCTGCGTTCTCAGTTTCCTTTTATTTGCTTTCTCAAGGTCTCCAAGAGTTTTTCCTGAAATCATAAAATTAATCTTTTCCTTCCAAATAGACACATGTGTTAGAAGAAAGGAAATGACTCCAGCATAAACTATTTTGTTTCTGCAGGAATGGTTAAAATTAAAGAAAGATAAGAGTAGGGTGAGCTGAAGAAGATAATTTTATCTCTTTAACTGCCTGGCTTTTTTTCCCTTCATATATTTGTTTTGTTTTATTGGTTGAGGAATAGAAGAACTAAGGAGTGATAAATACCCTTGAAGGTGACGGCTTTATTCTCAAACTCAAGTCCTTAATCTTACTTGAAACTTCTACATTCTTGTAACGATTACAAGTTTGAGAAAATGAAAAACAATCATATGTTTTGAGCATGTGAAATGTGTTCAGGTTTGTTGATCAGGGCATTAGTGTACCCTTGCCTATGTTCCACAATGTTCAGAAAGAGAAAATACTAAAGTCTTACAAGTACTTCCCTTCCTTAAAGAAATTACAGCAGTTAGAAGGTTATGACTATGGTTTAAACAATGAGATTTTCTTGGGACATCTGTTTTGAGATTACATTTTGAATAGATATGAACTCATTTCCTACTAAGCAAGCAATCTACTATTGTTGATAGCTGTTTACCAGTTCTATGAGTCAGATATTAGCTAGTGGCAAAGGTCCCTCTTAAATCCTCCAAGTATTTTTTAAACTGTATACATAGTGTTTTCCTTAAATAAAATGTTAAGAGAAGTAAAAATGCAGTCTTTTCCTGCCTCTTGGTAAATTATACTCCACAAAATGTTGCACTTGGGAATAATATTTAATGTATTTATCTTTAAAGAGTTACTTCCTTTGTTGTCATTAAGGAAGGGAGTAAGATACTAGGTTTAGCAAGTATTTAAATAACATAGAAACGATTAAGAGATGCTCACTATGTCAATATTTATATACTATTTAAAAACTAGAAGTAAAATTAAGTTTCCTTTATTTAGATTAAACTGATTGTGATTAATTTAGTATTCTCAAAAGTGTGCATAATGCCAAAAAAAGGATAAACAGATTAAAACATAGCTATAGACACTATCAAATTGACCTTGGGTTCACCGGTTTTAAATTCCGCCTTTGCATTATCCCAGTCCCAATTTCCAAGCAGCATTTTTTAAGCTGGTTATGTAGATCAGTCCTTAAAGCAAAAAAAATAGCAACTTATCTGGCCTGTATGTTGTGGATAGTGTTGCCACTAAAAAGAATCCAGGACATTTTTCCTTCTTATCTGCAATGTAGCTCATATCAGCCAACCTGTCACAAGATAGTACTTGATATAAACAAGAGATTGCAAAGACATCTCAGTAATCAATATCAGGATGGCTACAGTATGGAAACCCCAACCAGTGCATATCATCTGTCTCAGCATCTATTTCTATGGCCAAATGAAGCATTAATTCAAATCATAAATCTATGGTGATTTAAATCTGGGAATGAGCACCTGCCTGCTTTAATGATTTATTTTGTACATTTCAGTAAGCAGGAGATTTGTCCATATGAACTGACAGGTCACCTTCAGATGCCAAGAGCAGACTGTTTATCACCATGCAGACTAGCATCTCATCTTAGCAAGTAAATATTAAACTAAAAGAATCCAATTGATTGTGGATGAGGGAGAATGGCGACATGGCCATATATTTTACTCAGTGTGCTGATGCCTCACTCGGATCTATCCTCAGGTGCTCACTTCCTCCTAAAGTGATCATTTTGTTGGAAAGATATGAGCTCAAGGTTACCATGTAAAATTGGGATATAAAATAATTATTCACCATTGTCAAAGCTTTCTTTAAACATCTTTTTCTGGCTAATTTCTAAGGTTCCTATTATGAACCGGGAAGGGTTGTGTGATACAAATTTTTCCTGTCGTCTTACCCAGCAAATCAAACCAAACAAAGCAAAAACATAATCTGTTATCTGGGGCTTTAAGGATTCATTTACAATCAAGGAAAAAAACAACGCTCTTACAAAAAAAAAAAAAAAAAGCCTAAAATGTTTAACAGAACTTATGAGCTAGATGAGTGCAGGAGAAAACAAGAGCCTTGAATTGTCTTCAGAAATGTCACCGGATTTGGGCAAGACTGAGTAGCAACAATACATCATTTAAGTAGCACCCCTCTGAAGGGTTTCACTACTTCAAAGAGTCAACAGTTGATAGATTCATGAGAGCAGTCTGTATTCTAAAATATAGGCCTTGGAGATTCTTGGGATTCCTTCTAGAATTCATGTGCTTCAGCACCGCTTCCTAACCACTTCATGGTAATCGGTTCTCCTGGAGGATTCAGCACATCCTGTTATGACTGCCTGCTTACCTACCTATCTCATCCATAGACTGTATGCCCCTGAGTCCTGGGCCTGTGTTGTGATTATTTTTGTATTCCTAGAATGAGCTAATATTGAATGTCCTACAAAATCTCTAAGATGCAACAGCTGCCCTGAAATCTCCTCACAGGCCTGCAGCTTAGCAAGTAATAGCTACCAGAGACAATGGAAAAGCAGGTGGAAGCAGTTGATGGTGGTAAGAAAGGAAGAAGGTGATTTCCAGGAGGACAGATTTGAAGAAATCATAATAATAATAGCAAAAGCAATCCCCAATCTACCAACCTTACTGATGACCAAACAACTTGATAAGCAGACATTGTAATAAATAATGTGACAAGTATTTTAATTCTCATGATATGATACTATTATTTATGCCATTTTTCAGATATGGAGTTTTGGGCTCAGAAAGTTTACATACTTTACAAAGTCACAGAGCAAGTCATTACTGAACACTTACCAAGAGGCAGGCATTGTCCTCAGAACCAGAGAAGATTGTGGCCATCAAAGCTGCAATTCAGGAATTGCTTTGATCTTTGATGCAGCTCAACCCCCACCTTCACCACTGCTTTGTACCTCCCCCATTACCACATCCCTCCCAAAATCACTTTACTTGATCTCTAGATATATACCTGGGGTGAAGGTGTTCAGGAAGGATATTATAAATTGGAAATTCTTAGAGGACAGCAGCATGTGAGAATAGGATGAAAATTACAATGATAACATCTTTTTGCCCAAATCAGCTACAGATATCTAATATAAATGACCTGAATGCCTTAGGGACTAGCAGCAACACCGATATTATGTTAGCACAATCTCAAACTATTAAGACTTTCTAGGAAAATTCAAGTAAATTTCTGCTCTTGGTTCATTTTGGCGTTGGATGGGGGGTGTCAAAACTAAAAAATAGTAATATCCATCAACTGCATACCTTAATGAAAAAAAGTCATTTATTCCAGCTAAAATACAAAAGAAAATTCAAATTGTTTGTTTTTAAGTCATTGCGATAGGCTACGTACCAAAATAATTAAAGTAAGCTACAATTTGGTTAGTAGGCAAATATTGTCATGTACTATCAAATATGAAAAATATGTTGATGCTTAATTATGAACCATGTTCTCTTTATCTTATGCCTGTTGATTTCTGCAAAGCCAACTTCTGCTCTGGAAAATTCAAACAGAGATACCATGTTTTAATGTGTTTTGCTTTAAATGTTGTTAAATTGCCTATTTTAAGAATCCCTTCTCATAAAACCAACTATTAAGAACAGCCTTCATGAACAGCCTCCTTTTCTAAAATTTTGAAAACAATCCAGATTGTTTTGTAATAATAGATATAATGTATAAGTGGCTAATTACTTGTTTTAAAAAGTGTCCAACAGTGCCCCATTTTCTCAGTCTAATAAAAGGCTTTTACTTTAAAGTAATAGTTCTAAAAACAGAATTATAATTCTTGCATTTTGCTTCAATTCTGTTTTAATTTTTAAATGTCTAAATATATGTGTGTAAACCATGACCGAAACAATCCTCATCCCTCCCTGTCTTCCCTCCAGGAGCATTACAAACATGAGCACAGATATTATCCTTAGTCCTCTGCAGTTGTAGGGCCATCTCTTTTGGCTCTCTTCCATGTCTTTTCATCCGTCTAGGAACTCGCACTCACACCTACTCTCCATTCAAATCCACTACTGCTGGTCCTTTGCAATTTCCCTTACATAGTTGTGCTGAAAAGATGCATTTTTCCCCTTTTTACATTACAAAAGCTGCCTTTTAGCATCACTGAAACAGTATTTTGTGTTTTGTCTATATATTTTACTCTAATATTCATGTCTGTGTATGTTTCCAGACAGCTCTTGTGAAAATGATTGTTACTAAAATCCACAGTATTCCTTTATATACCCTTAACTATGTCTTAATGGATTGAAAGTAGAGAGCTGACAATTAACTTAAGAAATAATCTATGAAAATGCTGCATGGAAAAGAGAATTTAACTGAATGGCCGTGAGTTATTAGGGTCTTCATAAATATACATTGGCTATAGTATCTTGCATACATCTTGTAGTATCCAAATTTCTCTTGTTAATTATATTTTGAGCATGGTCACTGTATTTTAAAGAGAAACAATACAAGTGCAATAGCAGAAAAAAAATGTTTTGCCCCACAACATCCAGATGCTAAGGATTTCATTAATACAAAAATTAACCCATATTTGAAGTTGTGTTTGACAAAATGAATTACCCAAATGGATAGTTGGCACAGGTAAAACTGTCCCTTTTGGTTTGACAGTGACAGTTAACTTTTCATCTTTCTCCATATGGTAGGAAAGAAAAAAAATCAAGAAAATTAAAGTCATATTTTTAAAAGGAGAGACCTTGGTAACCATTATCTATAGAAAGAATTAATCATCAACATAATCTGTATTCTGGGCAGCATATGAAAGGGCTAAGTTTATATGTTTTGCTGCCAATGGTAGTAAGTTTCTTACTTGATAACAAATGGATTAAAAGAATAAAAAAGTAAAGTCTAGGGTTTCCTTTGTACATATTTCTCTGTCACCTTAGCTACTCTCAATGTTTTAGAATTCTCTTGATTAAACTTTGTATTATAAAAGATGTTAGCTGAATGATTTTAGAAGTTGCAGACATAAAGTTGATCCTATAATTAAAAATAATGTTGCTAATTATTCCTTTAGAATGAACAATTATCATTAGTTGTTAGAGAGGCAAAATGGTATCCTCAAACATACAGTGTTTTCAAGCTAAAAGTGCCAACTTTTTGAATGGGTAGCCAACAGTTTTGTTCTGGAAAAGCATTTACTGTAATTCAGTAGCAAAGTGATCACAATAAGTTTCAGCGAACATAAAACTTACCGACACTTGAATTCATGTCCCCGTTTTCAGAGTCTGCTCCATGTTGGTTATTACTGGCATGATAGTTGCTCATGGCTTCTAATTTGATTTTTTTCACCTTCATTGCTTCAGCAATAGCTGCATTGGTAGCAGCAGCAGCTGCTGCAGCGGCTGCTGTCAGACCTTAAAAGAATAAATTAAAAATGAGGTAATTCAAATTCTGATTTTTCATTTAATAGTTCCTGTACTTGCTATAACCAACATACAAACATTTATTAGAGTATCTGATTCCTTTATGCAACACTTTGATAACTTATACTCATTCCCAACTAGACAATGAAACAACATTGATATAAGGGGGAGATTGATTGCTACAGTCCAAAATTAAATATTAACAGAAACACAATTCACAGGTAGAAGGCTAATAGTGGAAATGCAGCGACAGTTATCTCTTAAAGAAACCAATCTACGAATCTAAATATGTCTTTTCCTGCTTAAAATCCCCTGTAGCTGCCTACACGGAGGGAAAAATCTGAACTGTTAACTGAATCCACAAGGCCTTTCACAAGGAGTGTAAACCTACTTCCTCACCCAGTTTCTTCATTGTCATCCACACCCTGGCTATATCACAGATGTCACCATTACCCATACATGACCTGCATCTTCAAGCATGTGCTTTCACACATGCCATTCCCTTTTGCCTGGAACCTTCTTGCCCTATGACAAACATTTCCTTGACTTTTCATCCTCCTGAAAAAAGCTACTCATTAGAAGTCTTCCCATTCCATGGCCCCCAGCTGCCTGGATGCCTGGTCTGTTCTTCTCCCCCTGACCCACGTTTATACCTGTGCTGCTGTTATAGGACATGCCACCCTGCACTGGAATGGTCTGTTGGGACACCTGTTTTCCTCACTAGATTGTGAACTACTCAATGGCAGGAAGCATGTGTTGCTACACAGCTTGCTATTCCCAGTGTTTAAGGTGTTAAAAAATAAAATACAATGTAATGAAAGCTAACACTTAGCTTCTAGTTATGAAATTTAAGTGCTGATTTAAGTGACATAAAAGTAGCTTAATCATCTTAATAACCCTCTGTGATTGATCACTATTATCCTTACTTTACAGATTAGAAAACCATGGCACAGGATTTGAAACAGCACACTCTGGCCTCGGAGTTGACACTTTGAACCACTATGCAAAGAAAATTTGTCCAGAATAGTTCATCTTCATCCATCCAGAGAACAGGGGGTAGAGGCAGACATTAAATTAGAAATAGAGTTTGAGCCGGGTGCAGTAGCACATGCCTATAATCCCAGCACTTTGGGAGGCAGAGACAGGCGGATCCCTTGAGCCCAGGAGTTTGAGACAAGCCTGGGCAACAGGATAAAACCCCCTCTCTACAAAAAATACAAAAAGTAGCTGGGCATGCTGGCCTGTGCCTGTAGTTCTGCTACTCAGGAGGCTGAGGTAGGAGAATCAGTTGAGCCTAGGAGGTTGAGGCTGCAGTAAGCTGTGAGCACACTTGGGTGACAGAGTGAGACTCTGTCCCAAAAAAAGAAAAGAAAGGAAGAGAAAAGAAAAGGAAAGAAAAGAAAAAGACAAAAAAAAAGAAAAGAAACAGAGTTTGAGACAAGATCTCGGAAGATCAGAATTAAGACCATGCTGTTCTGACTTTATATATTTATATAGAGAGATAATAAGCAGAGGTTTTTGAGCAGGGGAGTGGTTTGTCTTGCTTAAATGTGTGAACTTTTGCCAAGTCAGTTCACTTCAGGCTGACATCCCTCATCTGCAAAATGACAGACACTGGAATGTATAAATGATCTCTCCTAATTCTAAAACCTTAAGTCTATGAGAAGATAAATATCCCCAACCCCACCCATTTTTTTTTTTTTTTTTTTTACTGTGGCTTCTTTAGTATTTTTGACTACAGTGCTCCAGCCGTTCGAATTTATCTGTGTGATTTATTTCCAATCCCAGCTGGTGGATTAGAGCCTGAGCACCGCTCTCCTCCTTTTCCTCCCCACTAATCATCACTTCTAGTTATTCTAGCAAATAAGTTACTGCCCAAGGAATTATAAGGAAGTATTTTTCCATGAAAATCTCTGCTGGCTTTTTAGAGGTTAGAAGAAGACTTCACCTTTCCTTCAGATCAGACCAAAGAGGCCCTGACAACTTTCACCCCAACGCAACAAGACCTTCAGATTGGGTCTTTACATGAAAAACTGATAATCACCCCTTAAAAGGCACTAATCTAAACTCAAAGAATCCATCTGGGTTTGATCTGAACATTCATTGCCTTTTAAGTCTCAACTTGAACTGATTCTCTCATCTTCCTATGATTGAATTTTCTCCCCAATTACTCATTTCCTTCAAAGATGTTTCAGAAAATTTTCTTTCCTGTTCTCTTAAAAGTCTCTTTGTGTTTTCCAGCAAATCTTTCTTCCTCAATTTTGTTTTGTCACCAATGTGAACATCCCATTTTTCCTTGGTTACCTGATGTTGACCCATCTCCAATTTATGACTTCAAAAGTCTTTGTCTTGGATTTGTGCTGCAGGGAAAACTTGTTCACAGTATTCAAATAATAAAGGTAAACTTACAACTCACTATTATCAGAGAGATCCAAATCAAATTAAGTACCAGGAACCATGACTATGCATGATATGGCCTTGGACCAACCATCCAATTATCTTGAATATAATTTTTTCACCTGTAAAACCATTCTAATCCCCAAGAAAAAATATAAGGATAAATAAAATAAACTATGTGAGGAATGCCACATCATGTTTAGTAAACATTAGGCATGCTATTCATTCTAGTTTGTTAAAAAGAAAGGCTTGGCCTCACTATAATTTCTGCAGAGTATCTGTGGCCTGACACAGCCCTCTCAGCTAGAATAATCACATTTGTCCTTAGGTGACTGGATTAGCCCCTGACTTTTAAAAATATTCTTTATGATTTTATTATTTAGCTGATTTATTTATAGTACTCCTTTATTTTTCTATGACAGCTTTTCCCAGTTTTACATTTCTAATACAAAGTCCAAAAGATATATGTGTGTCACTGACACACACACACACACACACTCATACACTTTTACATGCTGTAACTTAACTACAACACTTTTTAATATTCTACTTTTAGCCCAGTTTTATGAAAGCAGAAAGCAAGCTATGACATATGCAACAATTGCTGATTTTAGTTTCACTAACTCACCTGGCTGTTTGATGGGTTCTCAATTCTAATTATTTAATATCTTTCCAATTCAACTAATTTTCTCCATTCCCACTGCCCCTCCCCACCAGTACAAGTTCCCATCTTTTCTTTCTTAGAGTCCTGCTCAATATAATAGCACGTCCCCCATCTCCAATCTCTTACTATCCATGTCATAGTCAGCCAAACCTCATGAAAGCGAAGATTTTTTCTTTTTTCTTCCTTTTTTTTTTTTTTCTTTTGAGACAGAGTCTCCTTCTGTCACCCAGGCTGGAGTGCAATGGCGTGATCTCTGCTCACTCCAACCTCCGCCTCCAGGGTTCAAGCTCTTCTTCTGTCTCAGCCTCCCGAGTAGCTGGGATTACATGCACCCACCACCATGCCTAGCTCATTTTTGTATTTTTTGTAGAGACGGGGTTTCACCATGTTGGCCAGGCTGGTCTCGAATTCCTAACCTCAAGTGATCCACCTGCCTTGGCTTCCTGAAGAGCTGGGATTACAGGCATGAGCCACGGCACCTGGCCTGAAAGTGAGGATTTGAATATATATTCAATGCTTGCTCTTAGGATCCAGTCCAGTGCTTCTCATGGCTGTCAGCGCCCTTTGTTCTCAGTTCCCTGCCTATCTGTATGTATTCCTGCTCCTCCGGCTCCCCCTTGCTCTCTGTGCTCCAGGTACATAGGCCTTCTTTCCTTTTCACTAGCAAACGACTTCATTCCTTCTTTTAAGTCAGTCTTTGCATATTCTGTTCTCACTTTCCAGAAAAGCCCTCTATGTCCTGGCCCCGGACTTGCCTATGCCTTCTTCATGTCATCACTTAAATATTATGCGCTCAGAGCTGGAGGCTCAGGTTCCTGACTCTTAACTATCTACCTAGGAAAGAGCTCTCAACATCTCAAGAATTAGCTCATGGCTTACTCTTTTAAAGAGCTGTACCTGACCTTCCCCAATCTACCCCACTTGCTTGTGTTTGCATCAACCCTGCTGTATGTGAGTCTGCCATCCCTAGCTGTGCATCAGAGTCACCCATGGAGTTTTAAACTATGCAAATAGCTCAGCCCTAGCATCTGAGATTCTGAATCATCAGGTCTGGTTTGAGGCCTCTGCAACTGTATATATCTGGTTAATCTTACTATTCTACAGGTCATTTTAATAAGCAATTCCAGTAGAGAAAAACAGTCTCTTAAACTCTTTATTGCTCTTTTCTGGGGGCTGGGGCCAAGGAGAGTAGGATTAGGATTCTGACCTCTAACTAGGTCATAGCACTAAAAGGGCAGAAATACTTTCTTCGTATATATATCCCAAACATCTGCTGCGGTGCTTGGCACATATTGTCACTGAATGAACAAATCCTTATCAAATTAGATTACATGGAAAGCCACAGGAGAAACATGGTCATTATTTTGGCAATGTCAATGGAAAGTAATTTAAAACATTATTGTTATGTTACATTAAGTGTGTATAGACTAAGAATAACAAATCTCATTAACTTAATATAAAGCATGACTCTCCAAAGGTATGTCTTGCCTAGGGCTGGAGAGGATCACAAAAGATTCACCACCCTCAACCCACTCTGCATTTATTGAACTTCCTGTTGGCCTTGCAATGGTCCTTTCAAATCCCTGATGTAATTCTCAAATCCCTTCCAATTTCCTGTCTCTAAAAACATAGCTTACAATCTATACAGTAGCCTTAAATAGAGGTCTCATTGTATATGTTGTTCCCAAACAAAGTTGCCTTAAAAACAACAACAAAAAAATTCATGTAATAAATTCACAAAATAACTTAAGTCTTTGGTCTATACTAAATAGAGAATATAAACTATAACAACATTTCTATTTAATCAAGAATTGTCCACTGGTGTAAACACTGGCAACCCATAACATTTGCCACACCCTTTTCCTTCCTTTCTTCACTTATCATAGATCTTCTCCCCTGTCTTCAGATTCAGGGAAATTTTTGCTACCCTCCCCCCTCTTCCATATCCCACTTTGAATTGTCTTATACTACAAATTACCACTGCTTTTACATTTTTCTTTTCTTTTCTTTTTTGAGAGAGTCTCACTCTGTCACCCAGGCTGGAGTGCAGTAGTGGGATCTCGTCTCACTGCAACCTCCACCTTCCGGGTTCAAGCAATTCTCCTGCCTCAGCCTCCCGAGTAGCTGGGATTATAGGCAAACACCACCAGGTCTGGCTAATTTTTGGGGTATTTTTAGTAGAGATGGGGTTTCACCATGTTGGATAGGCTGGTCTCGAACTCCTGATCTCTGGTGATCCACCCGTCTCAGCTTCCCAAAGTGCAGGGATTACAGGCATGAGCCACTGCGCCCACCCTGCTTTTACATTTTTTCATTCAAGCAACCCATTTCTCCCTCAGAACTAGGCAATCAGCTGCAGTGCATGATAAAGACAGAAGTGATGTTCTCCAAGCCCACATCCACAGAATATTTCTGAAATGGACTAAGGAATCTGTGGTTTTGCATAAAAACACATTGCATAAAAGTATCTCCTACACCAAGACAAAAATGTACTGAACTGAGAAGTCAAAGGAAGTCTAAATTTTATTTTAAAAGATTCTAAATCTAATTTTATCATCAGAAATGGAGAAACTTTAATGCATATTTAAAGTTCATTTTCCAGATGTTTTTAGGAGGTTGAGATCCTAGGCAGTGAATCCTGTGAGCACAAGTTAAACTACTTTGATTAGCTAGAGATGCTTTATAATTCCTTCATCAGTTTCCAAACAAGAAACGATGACTTTAAAAATCTTTTCTAACAGAACAAAACAACACAAAGTAAAAATAATAATAATAATAATAATAATAATAATAATTTTTCACTGCGTAAAAATGGATTGAGAAAGGTTTCTTTAAAAAAAAAAAGTTTTCCTTCAGTGGAAAGATAATAAGTCATATATTGTGTTCTCTCTTCTAGGCCTCCAATTGGTCTTCAGGAAAAGAACTGTATATCAAACTTGGGTTAATACACTACCTGCCTTAAGTGGTGCAATGTATTTAGATTTCTTTTTCTTTCCTATTGAATCTTGACAAACTATCACTTGCAAATTTAAAAGAATGAGCAAATTTTTACACAGAACTTAGAAACGTGGCTTGTCATATTACTATCTGAATTATGATGCAAACTTATGCTTGCTTCTTCAGAGTAAATTATAGATTTTTTTTAAAAATGGGCTATTGTTAAAAATTTTTACCTTTGCTAGTCAATTTCTTTTACTTTTATTCTCACTTTTTGATATTCCACTAAAGTATTTTAAGATTCCTGCTAAATTACTGACCAGCATAGAAGTTATTTGTAGTCTAGACTCACTCTCTTATAAGAAATATGTATAATACAGTGGCTGGGGGGAGAGAGACACCCCAAAGAGCCATGCAAACTTTGGACAAGATGCATCTAACTTATCTGGGATGGCGCAGCGAGTTATATAATGTCCCATGCTTCAAAATTTTCATCTCTAAACAGAGGGATAACAATTCTGACCTCACAGGTGTGTTGTGAAGAATGAAGGTGAAATAACGTGCAACAGCCTGGGCACACATCAAGCCCTCCCCCTCCATAAATGCTCACTGAAACTGTGAAGTAACTCATACGATCCATCATGTCTCTATGTTTAGTTTTACCTTTGTTCAATTACAAAGGTGCAAATAGGACAAAAAGTACCTAACAGCATAGGGTGAGAATGTAGCCATTTGGCAAACGGATATCTAAAAATCAGGTTTCCATCAAATCATTGGATTTGGCTCTCTACATTGATCAGATTTATCATAAAATCACTAAATCTTCACTCCATGCTGTATTAAGACAAAGCCTTCACTAGTTTAAATTCTATATTCTAAAACCAATCCATGGATATATCTTTTGGAAGAGATGCAGGCATTTTTACTAGTTAGAATATTCTTTCACTTTTTAAAGATAGTGTTTTTCTTCTGCTTTCAACCTTTATTAAAACGGCCTTTAAATTCTTCAAATGCCATTATACAATCCTGATTACTCTCTTTAAAAAAATGGAAAACTATCTCCATTTTATTTATTTCAAATAAGTTAGTACCCTTACTTATAAATAGAAGATTACAATTGTAGATTATAGATATCAATAAAAGAGACATATTGCTGTCAAATTCTTTCTCTGATCTGTTTGTTTGCTCATTAACTTGAAAGGCCCAATCTTTGATCTTTGGTTTCAAAGACATCAAGATGACTTCCAAATGTTTGATATATTGTCTACTTTTACATTGCATTCCATATAAAATGCATTTCCTCAAATTTAATAGTTAAATAAAATGGGTTATATCCAAGAGATGTTACGTATTCAAAC
Source organism: Homo sapiens (assembly GCF_000001405.40). Taxonomy (NCBI): domain Eukaryota; kingdom Metazoa; phylum Chordata; class Mammalia; order Primates; family Hominidae; genus Homo; species Homo sapiens. The sequence continues at coordinate 71,638,083 of NC_000013.11, forward strand.
TTTCCATATGATAGACTTGTTATTAGTTTGTGTTAGTTTGCTTACATTTAAACAAAACCATTTTAAACATGCAGTAGATTATAGCCAATGGTAGTTATTATTTTGGAATTGATAAGTTATTTATGTCTGGCATTCTTCCTACTGATTATTCAGAGAGACAGGCGGCTTATAAATATCTCATCACTCCACCGTCACAGAAATTTCGTCGACAGTGCTCATGCACAGCTATTAGCAATATGAATCTAACCATTACAAGAAGGAGGAAAATCGAACATGTGGCATTAATACGCAGTCCTGGTTCCTAACCATCTGATAGGCAGATGGTGTGAAGCGGATTCTCCAGCTGAAATGAAGGGGCACATCATTTAAAACCTTGTTTGCATTCTAACTGATATCAGTGCCATATTCATATACATGATACATCATGGCAGTATTTGAACAATCTAGTTTGTTTCAGTCATAAATGTTTACAGCCTTGTTTTTTTAATCTTATAAGCATGTTCAGAAGAGTGTATTTTTAATTTATGAAACCTATTGTTTACTTCTGTTGAACTAGAAGATTAGTGGAAAGCAGGAATATTAAATTACTTCAACCAGAGCAATATAACCAAGACAGATGAATAAAGTGGGTTTCTATTTTCAATAAGGATGTTAGCAAAAGAATTTTAAAATTAGCTCAGGCATTTTGTGCATTAAATACACTTATTCATTTAAACCTTTCAGCTATTTTTCCCCAAGTGGCATACAGAGAAACTTAATGCCTTACATAGTCATTCATTTAAAACTCTCACCGTGTGCAATTAATCTTGTCCAACAATTCAATTCAGAAAGTAAAACATCAAAAAGCATAGTTCAATTCAACAGTCATTACTGTGAAGTAATCTTTCTGCTCCTGACAGTTCCTATAGACTCTTTGCAAAACTCTGTTGAAGGTGCATTGTAAGCTCCACATGAGTTTGAATTACAACTCAATTGAAATCACTCCAAGTCTTAGAAGAACTCTTGGCTCAATATAACAATTTGAAAACACCAGTACCTTTTTTCACCCTGTTTTCCTCCTATCCTTATTTAAATACCAGCTGTCAGAAACTGACACTAACTTTCAGTTATTTTATTTCTCAATGCTTTCTAAATAAATTAAAATTGTGATTGAAACATGCATGTCTTCACTCTTGAATGATTAAATAACCAGAATGATAAGCAGATAGAACAAAAAACTTAATTGTAAATCTGGTTAGACTGAAGATTTTGAGTGTGAACTTTTCTCTTAATGTCCATTAGACTGACTTTTCTTGGCCTTTGAAACACATTTGTATTCTGCAGAGAAAAAGAAAAATTGATCCTTGAGGCCATTAATGGAAACACTCCCTATACCAGTTTTGAGTCTTTCAACTGATTGAATTAGATTTTTTAAATGTTTGTACTAACAACAACAAAAAAACCCCACTAATTTGGAGATATATACAGTAAGAAAGATGTTGTTATAATATGAATAATGACTTATAAATCAAATAGACATCAGATTTAGCATTCTTTTTCTGGATAGCTTAAAATCTCAATTTCTCAGACTGAAGAGGTTATAGAAGTGAAATCAGAAAGAAGGAACACCATAGGGAAGTCATCTGGCCATATCAATCACTGAGGAACTTCTATGAAAGCTTTTGAAAAGCTCACCTTCTGATCACTAACCCAAAATCAGGCTGAAACGTAATCAATAAAAACTTTTAAATTACTATAATTTGGTTTAAAATCAACTGTTACCTAATTTATAAAAAGTTGAACTTGGCACTATGAGGTCTTAAATATGTAACTTTTACTCCACCTTTAACATTACTACCTTTAGAAAAATATTTCTAAACAACCTCTTGGGGTCTTAAACTTATAAAACTTGGGGATTAGAAAGACTTTACCTAATGTAACCCTTTTATTTTACTGATGATTAAATTTAGGGGCAATGAGGTTAATCATTTCTGTAAAGTCACACCATTAAATAATCACAGAGTAATCCCAATTCGCCTTACTCCCAGTTCAGCACTGACCACACGGATTCTATGAGTAAATATAAAAAGAAAAGTACAGAAGACAGTAAACTATGGAGTCTTTGAAACAGATGACCCCCACTTTGCTCTAGTAGCTTATGGATTGTATAGAAAGTCGAAGTTATAGACACTCAGGTATGTCACAAATATACCAATATAAATTGACTCCACTTAGAAATCTGATCTAAATGTTTGTGTTTCAGTTTTATAGAATTTAGAGTGTATCTGCCACAGAAACAATGACCATTGAACTTTATGCACAAAACTTTTAACCTATACTGTATTGGTGAAATACAATATAATTTGTGCCTGAATCCTATGTATTACATAGGGCACAATGAGGAAGAAATAAAAAGAAGAGTAAATAAATTATTCTTCTCTGCATATCTTGAATATAAAACAAATTCCAACCAGAAACAAATTGAACTGACATGCCTTGACTCTAATTTTCTTTTAAGCACCCCTCTCATTATATCTTTTTCAATTATTTAATAAACTAGGCATTAGATATCTTCATGTTGGTCTAAGGCCCAATACTTCTTACTACTCACAGAACCCATCAGCCAAAATTACTCAGTGAATTGACTCCACGCAGGTAGCTCTAAGTAGCATGAGAGTGATTGAAAGTGTGTGATACTCTAAACGATGTTTTTGTTTTGTTAAGAGGCTTCTTGTTAATGTATTGGTGATAGTTCAGGCAATATAATAAGTGAAAAGAGGAAAAGATACGATAATCGTAATTTCCTGCAAAAGAATAACCTCACTGGCATTTCAGTCTAAGTATAATCTCCTCAAATGTTCTACTTTTCTCAATATCATGCAAATCCTTGTCTAAATCCATTTCTACCTCAATGTCTCAGTTGTTTTTTTCTTTTTCCAGATTCCAAGTACCACATGGGGTCTGTGCATGTGTAGTTTATTGTTGAGGACAGAAAATGACAAAAAAAAACAAAAGAGGTGGCTATTTTTACATGTAAGTCTTGTTTGGGATGAGCCATCTAATTAAATAAAAATAGCTGGAAAATACGTGGCCACAAAAGTCTTCTGATACAGTAAATAAATGTTTTTCAAGGAAAAGACTCATGCAAGAAATTTATTCATATATACATACATATGTATGAATATATGTACACATACATATATATACACACACATAGAATAAAGAATACAGACACACAGTATTCTTTCTAAGTGGAGGTCAAAGTCTGAGTGGGCTAGGAACAATATACATGCAGAGTCACTGGTTAACAATAGGAACAGAGAAACCAGTGGTTGAGGCATTATATTTTTTACTTCTTTGTCATTAGGTCTAGCATTTATAACAACATCTCATTTAAGCTCCATCATCAACCTACAAGGTAAGTGTTTTCCTCATCTGGTTACAAAGAAAACGTGAATAGTGAGAGGCCAGTTGTAGTGCTTTGAAAAGTAGGTTTGTGTTTGCAGTTTTAAAGTTGGATTATGGAAAAAAACAATCCTAGTTAATCTAGAAAAACACATAGTGCCATGTGATAAGGAAGATTCAAATGAAATATGAGTTGTGGTCCATAGTCTCAAATGGTTGGCATCTCCTACATGGTGGAATGTTAAAGGGAATGAAGCCCTTATCTTGGCACAATTTCATAATCATGGTCAAGTTACTTAATTCTTTGAGTGTGACTTAGACAAATTACTTAGTCTGATTATAAGGAGACTTCACACCTTACTGTTCAAAAAATAAATGGTGTTTAGGTTTGAATTTATTTCTTTTATAAGGTTTGATTATTATATTCAACCCATCTCACCTAGGAACAGAGCAATTATATATCAGGAAGAATTACCAATGTGCAGTATTATATTATTCACTTCTCTTTTTGCTGCAAAAAAATTATTCCAACAGAAAGAAATGTTTAGTTACTAACATGCCAAGAAATGTGAACCTTTTGTGTATTCTGACAGGAACTTTTACTTTGTTTCAAAACATTTGTAAGTCATAGCAAATCTTCAATTTTCCTAACATCTCTTCATTTTAGACGCAATGTCTGTAGTTATACTGATCCAATGACTTCTCTTGACCTAATTTATACCGTACCATGAGATTCTATTAAAAGAAACTAAATCACTGCAGTAGATTTATTCACCTTAAATAATTTAAGCTAATTGAAAAAGAACCAAACTAAAACTAAGACACTTCTCTCAAGCATTCAACTTCTGCATGTCAATTAGTAATTTAAATAACCAGCTAATCACAAAAGCTTCGTGAGAAACACCGACCTATGCTATGTATACATCTCTCTACTTCCACTGGCTGAAGATACAAGTAAACATCAATTCTGATTCTACAAGTACGTATATCTCTTCTGTAGCAATTAGGTAATTCCAATACAATGTTTTCATGGATGGATTTGAGATTCTTTTTAACTTTTCCAAAAAATGTTCAAAAGAACATAGAAAAATAGAAATATCTGAACATTTCACATCTAGTCACTCTTTTTTGTCAATGAGTTATGACAGTTCAAATTTATAAGGTGACTTAAACAAAACAAAATTGAAAACACTGCTGTTATCTACAAACATTAATACATCACAATAACCAAAGACTGAACTCCCATGGATTGGTTTAAAAATTACTAACTCAGGCCGGGCGCAGTGGCTCATGGCTGTAATCCCAGCGCTTTGGGAGGCCGAGGCGAGCAGATCACTTGAGGTCAGGAGTTCGAGACCAGCCTGGCCAACACAGTGAAACCCATCTCTACTGAAAAAAATATACAAAAATTAGCCAGACATAGTGGCACGTGCCTGTAATCCCAGCTACTCGGGAGGCTGAGAAAGGAGAATGGCATGAACCTGGGAGGCAGAGGTTGCAGTGAGCAGAGATCGCGCCACTGCACTCCAGCCTGGGAGACAGAGTGAGACTCCATCTCAAAAAAAAAAATTACAAATTCAGTTTAATATTATTATATTTTATTATTGTTACTTTTCTTCTTAAGATGAAGTTATTAAATATCATTTTGATTTATGCAATGTTCACAGTGGCACATAATGTGATTAGAAATTACAATATTCTAATTGTCCCATCCTTTGGAACTCCATTTGTAAAATCAATGGTCATTTTTCTCATGCATTTATTAGATTTCATAATTCAGCCATTTGTAATACCTGGAATATGTGGCATAATGACATGTATGACAGTCCTACAAAGAGTTTCAAAAGCTTTTTGCAATACTCTTACCATACATCTTTCTTATGAGAATTAGAAAATTCAAACATAACTTTATCTTGGAGGTAAAGCCTTTTGAAATATTGCTAAAGTGCATACTGAATAAAGACAACACACTTAAGCGGACTTTCTCCCCTTTAAACAGCATTCATCTTTTCAAAAGCAATAGATTCTCAGTCCACACGGAGTCTGTTGCATTATTCATTTCATGTGCAACCTCATGCTGGACCATAAATTGTTACTTTATCTAATCAAAGGAGACTTAACTCTACAGAAGGTCAAAGGTTTAATTTTGTGAAGTATTATCTTACGCTATGAGTTTAACCGAAAAATAGAAGAAGAAAAACAGCCAAGAAACTGGTAATAAATGAACCTTTATTGCCTCAGGCATTGGCCTAGTTAATAAACTTTCATTGAAGGTTTCTTTCAACTGTTACGGACAATGAGAGGAAAAAAATATTAAATTACAGCCATGTGTGACTTTTAAAGCAGTCATTCTTTTTTATCTCAACCTTCCTAGCTCAGGGAAAGAAGAAAAAAAAAAGACAAAGAGAGATTGTCTTCGATCTCTTAACCAAAAATATATGTTTCTAAACAGATGAAAAAGTGCAGATAAACTTTTCTAAAAGCAGAGGTCAGCTTTGAACAATATTAAAAAAATGCTTTCTTTAGGTGTTGAATCTTAGAAAACAATCTCTCTAGCTCAACGTAAAACTACAAAAGGGAGGAGGGGGACATGTTTTCTTCCCGAAAAGACTAACTCTTAAATTGTAGTCTCCTGCTTAGCACAACATAATGCCTTATAATCTTGTCATTATTGCACAAAGTCAACTGTAGTTTTGATATTAATTAAATGCATTGTAAATAAAACAGTATCTATGTATTATCTGACCTGTTTTAACGCAGAAATCCTTCCTCTGTCATCAGAAATGCTAGTAGCAAAATAATTAATTGATATACAATTAAAATTTTTGAAAGGAACACTTTTATCTTCTTAGCTAATATTCTCAACCAAAAATGAATGGTCTATGTGTAGTTTTTATATCAGTATTTTCTAGAGAAGTAAACGAACTGAGTTCTTCTCAACTACATCCACTTTTTCAGCTGGCACTGTGTTGAGGATGAAAGTTGTCACAGCCTCAATTCCACTTCCACGCCACAGTATAAATAAGGTAGATCCTCCTGTCACCAACAGAGTTCATATAAACTGTGAGACAAGGAAGAAGCAATGTTTTGCATCATACCTCAGATCTTCCGCAAGAAAAGGGGAAAGAGAGCTGGCTCTGTACTAACGGGGCCCTCTCTGCCAGGTTCTATCCACAAATCACAATGCTCTCAGCAGGGCACCCAACCCTATTCCACCTAGCAGCATTTGGACAGAACTGGGGCTCTACTTCATTCCAGGGACATGTCCCCAGGATGCTATCTTGGCCACCTTTGAATCTGAACATGATGGCTGCTTACACCAGCAGCACCAGGTGAAAGCAAGACCAGGCTCCCTACTAAGAAGTGCACTCTGCACAGCTGGAAGGCAATGAGTTCTTCTGGGGTCAAGGATGGAGCAGGTTTATAGCAGCAGCTCTGTTTCTTTTCTGTATTTGCCAAGAATAGTAAAGGAGACTTCTGAGAAGAGACCATCTAACCTGAATCATGAATGGAAAAAAAAAATCAAGTTTTATTCATAGAATATTAAGGATACAAACACGGTGTTTCGAAAAATGTGGTTAAGCCTAGATACCAGAATCCAAAGCAAGTTGGAATAATTGGTTTTCATTAAATTAGTAGAGGGTTTTAGAATCAACGAGCAGGTTTGATTTTACGCAAGAAACCATAAAGTGCTACTCCAAGTTTAGGAGGGGAAGCATTGTCGGAAGAGCAATTGATAAACATGATTCTCCCCCCTCTTTATTTACTGCATAATTTTGACATAGGCATATAACTGGGGAGCTTAAGAAGAAAAAGGTGAAGAAAAATGCAGAAATATCAACTACTTTCTAGAACGAAACACTGTAGTTTAGAATGTACATAAGTGAATGACAAGTTGCATGTATGTGCGTAAACGATTTAGTAATAGCAAGAGTGGTCATGGTTTATAATTTCAATCATCTCATTTACTCTTCTTTAAGAGAAAAAGCCTGAGGTACATTTAGAAGGTGATCTCAAGGTCAGAGAAGCATGGGAGAGTAACAAAAGCAGGTATCTCAAGTCTAATTCTTTGTTCCATTAATCAGATTTTTATGGGCTTGGGAAAGTTGTGCTACAGTACACAGGGAGGATAAGAATAAGGAAAGATCAAGGGAATTCAAAGGATTTATTAAAAGTGCAGACAGTAACTCCGACTAGTGTTTTTGCTAGACAGACACAATTAATTAATTGTAACATTGTGAAACTAAAACGCTGAAAGAACGTGCTCATGCCTGCAATGCAGTAATGTAGCAAATACTTAGAATCTTTCAACCACCAGGAGCTTTTGTTGGTTTTTTAACCTAATCCACAGCTTGACATAGATCCTAGGGTAATAGAACACAGTTCTTTGATTGAAATATCTAAACATTGCTGCACTAGCCTGGTGGCCTAATAAGTCTGTGTTTCTGAAACTTGAGAAATTTCAAGTTTGGAAACAAACTGAGATACTGAACTCTGTCTTGAAAAGTCCTTCAAGAAATTGCCTTTGAGACTGGAATATACTCTTTCCTGTTTAACAGGACCAAAAGAGATATAAAACTTCTGCAATCGGCCAGGTGCGGTGGCTCATGCCTGTAATCCCAGCACTTTGGGAGGCCAAGGAAGGCAGATCACAAGGTCAGGAGTTCAAGACCAGCCTGGCCAACATGGTAAAAGTCCCATCTCTAGTAAAAATACAAAAATTAGCCAGGCATGGTGGCGGGTGCCTGTAATCCCAGCTACTCGGGAGGCTGAGGCAGGAGAATCACTTGAACCCGGGAGGCAGAGCTTGCAGTGAGCCGAGACTGCGCCATTGCACTCCAGCCTGGGCAACCAGAGCAAAACTCCGTCTCAAAAAAAAAAAAGAAAAAAAAAACAACCCTTCTGTAATCGTTTTTCTTTTAAACAGTGATACAGTCAAAGCAAATTGTTTTCTTCAGCCACTCAAAAGTTACTAATAAGGAAAAAGTAGTGTTGATAATTGCAGAGTCTAATACATGTCATAAAAACATGAAGAATTTCAGAAGTGATCCATTAGCCCAACTTTCTACATTTGGACATAAAAATGTGAACACTATCTACAAGTTTACTCATTGTTACAGAGAAAGTTGATCCATCTATTTGATCAAGTTTAATCACATGAAAAACTTCAATTTGTTCAAAAACACACTAAATATATCTAAAAAGTAATTCTTATATACCATTTAGTGGAAAATAGAAAATCCTCCGTACTTATTTTGTTTTATTCAAGGTACCTCAATTTGTGATAATGATAAGAATGCCATATTTGAGCATTTTAGTGAGTGTGGAATTATTTATAAGTCTGCATTTGCAGCAATAAATACACTCTGATTAAACTCTGAAAGACAATTGCAATAAAATATCCATTTAATTGTGGATTCTGCTGAATTTCAAAAGGCAAAGAATGTGTGCCATTACTATTTACCAATACTCAGGTGTCTTGTAAAAATTGCTAAGCAAAAATGGATGAATAGAGAAAAGAGAAAGGCATGGGTAGCATTATGTATACCTGAGGCTATAGGCAAACTGTGATCATACATTTAGACAACAGACTTATAATATTTAAATAACGAAAATGATTTTTACTTAGCATCTGTCATTTGACACTATCAAATCACTTTATAACTGTTAATAAAAATGATACTTGGATGACAACTGAGATTCTGAACACTGCCACAAATGTGAAGTCTTGGCATATTTTATCATTACCTTGTAAAGCATGAGCTGTGAAGCTGGAAGGGAACTAGACAGCAAGTAAGAAAAATCCTCAAATTAAATAATAAAGACATTAGTTTGAAAACATACCAGTCCTTGTACAAAGAGTTTTCACGAGCACAATTACAGTTAGATAAATCAGGAAATCAATGATGTCTAGAACCCAATTTTTTTTCCATATTTCCTTTCTGCTATCTGTTGGTAGATAACCCTCATATTAAAAAGTATTAAAAAGTTAGCTACAGCAATTCCAGGAATCCAACTAAAAAAGAATTAGCTGATTATGCTATATGTTTCTTTTTAGTCCTTGAAGAAATCGTTCCCACGGGACATCTAAAAGGCTCTAACTGGTCAAACTGTATCATCTGATCATGCCCAACCAATCATAGGCAAAGAGAACAGGGCCACCATGACTCACAACTGGGATAGAACATGGGGCTGAGACCTCCTAAGTGCATGACTGGAGAAACAATGGGAATACCTGAATCAAGTTAGGATTCTGTTAGAAAAGAAGGGGTGATGGGTTGTTATTGTGGAGCAACTAAAAAAGCCTGTGAGAAAAGCTCCTTGGAGAATATTAAAGAAAATAGCTACCAACTTCAAAAAGAAGCCCACTTACTTTGCTATTTCCAATATTCCAATATTTGTAATCTTTCCCAAGCATGCTCAACAGTTAACCTGCAACTCCTAGTTTCAGAGGATAATATCATTGTTGTTTTCAAGACACTACTTTATTCTCATAATGAAAGTCTTGGTCCTTGTACAGAAAAGTTTCATAAAATTACACAGTGAATTTGATTTTTATATTTAGAGTTACCAGGAACAGAAACATGAAATAGCACCCAATTGCTTTGAGTTTCCTTTCTTGTCTCTAGCTGGAGAGATATAAACAATAAGATGATATGTCTACAGAACACAAAGATGGCATCCTTCATTTAATTACTATACAATCAAATATATGACAATAAAATGTGGACACCAAAAAACTGGTCATCTTTGAGCTATATCAAATAGACACTCAAACTTTTCCAGTAACAGTGGGGTGGTTAAAATTGGTGGTAACATTTTCTCAATGCTTTGATACAGTACTAGAATCATTAACCTCATGTTCTTCATTCTTAATGGTGCAGACCAGTTTAGAAAAACATGATACAGCAACTGCAGAGCTCAAGAGAGGCGACGAGAAGAGAGAAAGAGGGGACTAGGGTGAAAGGGAGGGAGACAACAATAGCTTTAAGAGTACATGTGTTTATGGCCAAGTTAGTGCCATTTTCTCCTCTTAATGTCCATCTTTGATACCATTAACAGGAAAAAAATAATTAATTAAAAGTTTAAAAATTGTGAGCAATAGCAGGCATATGGTATAGGACAAAGAATATGGGTTTTGAAGACTAAGAGCTGTGTTCCAATCCCCTCTCAGTCGTTAGATAGATGGCTTCTGTTTGTAAGATCTCAACTGTTTTTACCACAGTTAACTATTTTGCAGCATTAAAAATCAGGATCACATTGCTTAGGTCTCATAGAATTGATGAGAACATTAGATGCCATAGGACGCATAAAAGGTATGGTATAGAGGTGTTCAATGATGACAGTTTCCTTCCTATAATCTCACCATAGCCACCCCTTTCCTGCCATTTATGCGTTAGAAGCCTCACTACTGAAGGAGATGCCACTACTTGTTCAGGACAGATGGTAGGGTCAAGGCCATGGCAATAATAACATAAATCCACCCCTTCAACTTTATTTCTCAGGATCAATAATGGAACTTGCTAGGTAAATATGTTCCTTGCCAGAAATTTTGTTTTGTAAGTATAGTCATGCACTGCATAATGATGTTCCTATCAACAACAGACCACATATACAACAGTGGTCCCATAAGATTGTAATATTGCTGAAAAATCCTTATTACACAAATACCATTGTATTATTATTTCCTCACACTAGTTCAGTAATGTGCTGTATAGGTTTGTAACCTAGAAGCAATAAGCCATACGTATAGCCTAGGTATGTAGTAAGCTATACCACCTAGGTTTGTGTAAGTACGCTCAACGATGCACACACAAGATGAAATCACCTAAAAACACATTTCTCAGAATGTATCTTCGTCATTAAGGGAGACATGAATGTACATGAATGGATGAACTCTGTACCACATTTTAAAATTGTGTAAAATTTGGATCTACAGCTTACTAAGGGACCTTAGAAAAGTCACTTAACTGCCCTGTAAATGGGGCTGACAACAACAACATGTTGTAGCGGATATAAAAATTAAATGAGGGAGTACACATAATGAACTTCAACTGTGTAAGGTAGAACATAAGCAATCCATATATGTAGGCTATTGTTAGTGTCCTTTGACATCAAAAGACACTAATTTCCATAACAAACACCATATAGAAACTAATTTTAAGATGATGAAAACTAAATTTTAATTCATGTTGTAATGGAAAGGAAAATAAACAAATATTGCAAAAATCACAAAAAGATCCACATTGTCATTACATTACCTATTTTCACTATACACATCTTGACTTTAAGGACATTTTATTACTAGAAATATATCATGGTAAAATCACACTGAAAAAGAGATCCAGTTAAATGGATACGAGCAACACGGATCTCACAAAAATTCTAAGTTTAGACTTTGAATATATAGTCACTAAATTATCCAGTGCAGACATAAGAATTGGTGCTATCTTGGAATTCAAATTCTTTAATCTCAGACTCACATTATGAGCAGAGGCCAGAAGCAAGCTAGAATCCTCGTCTTTCCCCTGGAAGGCCAAGCACTTTGACCTTTATTAAAAGCTACCCCATGATACACACAAAGTCTCTTTAAACGCATATTGGAGCCCCTAAATATGCTCACTCCTTATAATATATTTACTGTTTGTTCACATTGAAATAGCCAAGAATAGTGGAGAATAGATAAAAGGAGATTCAAATAACTAATAATATCATGTGTATTTCCCCCATATTCTCTAAGAACAAATCAATCAATACATATCAAGAGCACATCAGCAATGTTTCCTCTACCATTACATTGGTTTCTTGGTCAATGGCTAGTTTTGTTACACAGACAATTTCTAATAGTCAAGTAATCCAGTACATAAGCAGTACTTGGTATATTACAGCAGCAAGAAGTATTTCTATTCTCAGAAAAATATAATTTGTTTTCCATTTCCTTACACTGTTTACTCTCAATGTCAACATTCAATTACATATCCATAAATATAATTTACTGAATAAAAGTTAAAATATTTAATTTTTAACTTCAAACTGTGATTCAAATTAAATAATATTATTGTAATAGATAATAAGATATTTAGATTTTCAGAGTATGTGGTAAATAGACCCATTTAAGCAGTTCTATACAAGAAACACTTTCTCTCTCTGTGAGGTAATAGAAGACCAAAACAACTTTTAAAACAGAAAATCAGGGATTTGTAGAATTCTAAGAGACTCTAAACTCTATTTTCCCGAATTCTAATTATCATCAAGGCATTCGGATAAAAGTTGACAACTACATATGATCTTTCAACACATACATTTATTCACATAATCACTAAAATTGACAGTGCATCTTCATCATAATAAATTTGTAAGAATTACTTGATGTTAATAATTTTTATGACAAATTATTTTAATTCAAGTTTGAAGCTCCACTTGTAAGATAAATACAAACAAAACCAGTCTTGACATTCAGTTATGAAAAGTAATTCATTATGCATGAAGTAAAATTTGCCATCAAATACTTAAGCATCTTATTACTTTTTATTGTTAGTAAAAATTTGCAAAGGTCATTTGAACTTACTGTTATATAAGCTATTTAGCATTTATTCTAAGAGCAAAATACAGTTTTGGTAATCATTGTACTAAAAGACATACAATTGCTATAGCACAGAAGAAAAATGCAAAATATAGTGAAAACATGGCTGCTCAAATATTTGTTGATATCATCATGGAACTATTGTCATAGGTCTTTCAAAAGTGCATGAGGGCAGGGCACGGTGGCTCCTGCCTGTAATCCCAGCACTTTGGGAGCCTGAGGTCAGTGGATTGCTTGAGCCCTGGGGATCAAGGTTGCAGTGAGCTGTGTTTTGCACCACTGCACTCCAGCCTGGGCAACAGAGTGAGACCCTGTCTCACAAAAAAAAAAAAGAAAGAAAGAAAGAAAAGAAAAGAGAAAAAGAAAACAAAATAAAAAGTTTATGAGTGGGTTCTAACTCTGGGGGTTCAAGATCAGTCTGGACAACATGGCAAAATCCTGTCTTTACTAAAAACACAAAAATTAGCCTGGTGTGGTGGCACACGCCTGTAGTCCCAGCTACTTGGGATACTGAGGTGGGAGAATCACTTGAGGCCAGGAAGTCAAGGCTGCAGTGAGCTGTGATAGTGCCATGGCACTCTGGGAGTGAGATAAGAATGCATGTATATGTATCTGTATCTGTATCTGTATCTGTATATGTATATGTATATGTATATGTATATGTATATGTATATGTGTGTATATATATGTGTGCATATACATGAAATGTATGCATCATAAGCTTCTGAATATATTATGAAACTATTTGGAATAAATTTTAGGAAACTGCAAGCTGTATTTGTACTAGTATCTCACACACATACACATATATACAGATATTCATGTGTTCAGAAAGATTATATCTATAATGTATGTTTGTGACACAGACAGCATGTCTTACTCAATACTTTATTCCAGCTCCTAGAGATATTCTTGCTAAATACTAGACTTTTAGTAAATTAATGAACCCTTCATGAGTGTTTCTCTGAATTCCTGAGGAACTACTTAATTGGCATTTGTCATGCTAGATCGTATTCCTATTTGTTTCATATGACATAGGTACCTAATAAATGCAAATGCTTATAAAGATTACATAAGAGATCACTGATCGGTCTTTAGAACTAGCAATGCACCAAGCCACACGAATGGAACAGTGAGGCTGCCTCCTCATCATCTAAATGATTAGAAAACAAGGCTAAATTCTAGTATAGATTTCAGCACTCTAACAAATCGTTACTGTCCCTTTATCTTCCCTCTCCCCATGGCAGATTGTCTTTCTTTTTCTGCTTCACAAAATTAAGTCATTCCACTCCTCTGCTTGCACATTTTTGGCATTACCCATTGCCTAGAACTCAAGATTCAAACACCTTATCTATAGCAATGCTTAGGCTTTCATAACCTGTCCCTCACCTACCTTTCCACATATATCACTGACCAGTCACTGCACTCATTCCACTTTCTATTCTATTTAAAACTCCGAAGAACTATCCTTCAACTCAGCATCTGATTCCTTCACTGTTCTCTTTGCCAAGAATCGTTCCCCTCCCTGCTATGCATAGTTTAAACACCATCACAAATTATCACCTCTTAGGAAGTGATAATCAGTTATTATTAATTCACCGAAGCAGAGTTGATTATGTCTTCCTCCGCCTCACCTTCTAAATTTTGCAGATATCTCAACTATAGCTATACTGAATTATATTGTTATCATGTGTTTACCAGCTTGTCCAATTATACTATGAGCTCCTTGAAGGTAGAGGCCATAACTCATTAAGTTTTCTTTTTGTTCTCTTGTACCCTCCATAGCATAAACGTTAACTTTTTGAATAAATAAATAGCAACACTACAAGAAATGAAATCTAGAAAATGTAGAAAAGTGGACCGCGATGACCAGTACAGAACATAATTAAAGAAGATCATTTAAAGGGCCAACAATTTATCCAAATTTGAGTCCTCCCAACTCGAGATAAATGAGACCTCATCTTTCTACATATTGCAAGTCCAGATTCGGAAGCTTAAACTAAAACACACATTTGGTTAAACTGTATGAAATTGCTGATATTTGACTAATTTTGACCTACAAAGTGATCATTTAATGCAGTTCAACTTAATTTCTATTATTTGATGACAAAATTCATCCCCATTTCCCAAATCTTCTGGAGAAAGCAGCACAATAAACCCCGCCCCTAAATCCATGCTCAAAAGAAACACACTCTTCCAAATTTACTCACAAGAAGAAACACTCATTCCAGTGCCAACAAACATCAGCTGGTTCTAAGGTCAACACATTTACCAAAGAACTAAAAGTAAACTCTACCAAAAGAACAACAAAACAATCTAAGCCTGAGTGAAGTATGACCGTCAGTCAATTCAGCTCCAGTGCTGCTCCCTGATCTGTCATTTCCTCTTATCTCAGAAGGCTCTTTGAATTTTCAGACTAAGAGCAAAGGCAGACGCTGCCCTACGCATGTCTCTAAGGCTTTTACCTACTGTAATTGTTACACCTGACACCTGTGGTTATCGCACCTGCTAGGAGAGCATTCCCTTCTTAAAGCTTTTCCTTACAGTGCTTTTCCTTCCTGATGTACCAAAAATATTAGAATATTTTGGATGCAAAACAAAGCCTAGGTTTGAATCTCTCCCTTTATATATAAACTTGGTATTTATCTACCTATAGATAACAAGAGATTACTGAATGAAAAGTAAGCATATTTCTGAAGTATTCACTATCATTTATTCTAAATTCTATTTTCTTTATTTTTTAATGCCAGAACTGATTACAGTAACTTTCCAGAAAATATGAAAAGAATCACTGTAACTATACTTAGCAATACTGTGACGTATATTTGACATTTTCTACAGAGTAGATCTTAAATGTTCTCATCAGAAAAAAAAAGAAAGAATAGAACCACTATTTATATTTGCACTGTGTGCTCAAAACTATAGTCAGCGTTCTGTTAATAATTGTACTACATCTATAGTATGTATGGGTGTGTGTATAAACACAAGCATACACTATTTTAAATGAGGAGAATGATGTGCAAAGGGATAGGTAACCATCTAAAATTAGATGACTAATAGGCCGGGCATAGTAGCTCATGCTTATAATTCCAGCACTTTGGGAGGCTGAGGCGGGAAGATCACCTGAGTTAGGAGTTTGAGACCAGCCTGGCTAACACGGTGAAACCTGGTCTTTACTAAAAATACAAAAATAAGCCGGGTGTGGCGGAGCACACCTGTAATCCCAGCAACTCGGGAGGCTGAGGCAGGAGAATCGCTTGAACCCAGGAGATGGAGGTTGCAGTGAGCCGAGACTGCACCACCACACTCCAGCCTGGGCGACAGAGTGAGACTCTGTCTCAAAATAAAATAAAATAAAATAAAATAAAATAAAATAAAATAAAATAAAATAAAATAAAATAAAATAAAGTAAAATAAAATAAAATAAAATAAAATAAAATAAAATAAAATAAAATAAAATAAAATAAAATACAACTAATAAATGGGGCAGTCAGTTCAAACCAGATGTGTCTAACTCCAAAATTTACACTCTTAACTACTGTACTATAAGTGGGCCTCAATAAACTGAAAAACTGACCCACATGTCCAAGTGTAATATGCGAGTACATGGAAATGTGTTGGCACTTGAGTTTTCATAAGCATTACAGTTCACAAACGTTACATTCAACTCAACTTCAAAGCCTAAAATGCCAATATTTTGGCCATTATGTCACCAAATGATCTCAAATACATATACAGTGATTATATGACAGATGGCTTTGATAAACAAAAATAATTCTAACAATAAAAAAATGATAAAATGTTTATTTGGTACAGAGATAGGTGGGGAATGAAGAAAGGCAGGCTTAAAGGAAAAGTTGGAGGTTTATCTTTCATTAAAGAACATCTCTTACTTTGCATGTTGTACAGACTTATGATTCTAATCTACATGGCAGCATTAACTTTTTTGTGATGTGTAACCTCTAACATAGTTTAGTCAACTTCAGAGAAAAGCTGAAGATGTAAAACTAGAAAATTTCCAGATTGCTCATTTGAAATCATTGAAAGCAACTTGTTTCTTCAACTTTCTGCAAGAAACCTTCCCTGATGGCTACAGCTGTGATGATTAGAACTTCAGAACTTTTCAGCCCTCAATGACTGCCCCACTCATTTGATACACATATCATAATGCTATGCCATGTTATTACATTATTTTTACTGTTAATTACTCTGTGTGTAAGATTTTCTCCCAATCACTTGAATACAGAAATCAAGACATCACTTAGCAAAACCTTCATGAAAGCATAGCAGGCTGACATTGGTGATGTCTCTTTTTTTTTTTAATTTTTTTTTTTTTTTGAAACAGAGTTTTACTCTTTTTGTCTAGGCTTGAGTGCAATGTAGGGATCTCGGCTCACCGCAACCTCTGCCTCCCAGGTTCAAGCGATTCTCCTGCCTCAGCCTCCCGAGTAGCTGGGATTACAGGTGCCCGCCACCATGCCCGGCTAATTTTGTATTTTTCAGGAGAGACAGGGTTTCTCCATGTTGGTCAGGCTGGTCTCGAACTCCCGACCTCAGGTGATCTGCCCACCTCTGCCTCCCTAAGTGCTGGGATTACAGACGTGAGCCACTGAGCCTGGCTGCCTCTTTCTTAATGAAAGCACACAAAATAAAAATTAAAATTAAAAATCTTAGAAATGACACTTAAATCCTTCAGTGTTCTAAATACTGCAGTCCTAAATCAGAATACTATTTCACTTTTTCCCATCTTTCTTTTTCATTTGCTTTAATTTGTTGGTGTTTTAATTTTGTTCATATTCCCAAGAAAACTTTATTTACAAAATGTCAACATGGTCTAAATTAATCTGCCAAAGAAGAAAAAGTTATTAAAGGGAAATTCTGGAACAGTCACATTTTTTATGAAGCATATAAAAAAGAAAGTAGAAAGTAATTTTTAATTGGCCAATAATTTAATGAGCTTGAAACTTGCGTGACATACTTCAAAGGTTATCATTAGCAAGTTTTTTAAAGTAAGTTATTTGGGATTTTGGGTATTGGGCTTTATTTAGAAGCACACTGGTCTTGCGTCTTTTTTTTCCTTATTTAATTCAGTCCAGTCCCACAAGATATTTAGCCATTGTTTTACATTGGTAAACTACTTCAGATGAGCCTTAAGTGTGATTTTGCTTGCCTGTGTCATTACTTGGGCATTCCCTGTTCATTCTGCATTCTTCCTCACCACATGCCCAAATTATACTTCTATTCAGTCCAAACTGTCAGTATCAGATCAAGTAACTCTCAGCTTCTATTTATTTATTTATTTTAATTTAATCATTGGCCTAACATTTTTCTTCTGCCTACTGAATAGGGCATCTGGTCAAACTTCTATTTGTCAGTATATAGCTCCTTAACCCTGTGAAAACAGCTAACTAAACTGCATTTTATGGCCACCAGTCTAAGTCTAGGCTAAATTTTCTCTGTTTGATTTATCTTACCCAAAATTGGAGCACGTTTTGTTGATCCTTCTCTAACCATGCTTGTTGTCTTTTCTTTCCAACATTTTTACTACTTTATTTCTTCTTCCTAAATATTTTTGTTAAATTATGTTAGTTCCTTTGCATAGGCTGTCATCCTATCTCTATAATGCTGACAAATTAGCTTTCTCTAACAAAATCAAAACACTGTTATATCTCCAAACATTTTTGAATAGTCAATCTGTACCATGGGAAAGAAGATGAGTTTTCAAGTCAGAATATATATATTCTGACTTGAAAAGTATAGATAGATAGACAGATAGATAGACAGATAGATTGATAGACAGATATAGATAGACAGATACTGACTTGAAAACTCATCTCCTTTACCTTGAGTACAGATTGACTGTTCTTCTTTCATATATATATATATATATATATATATATGCGCATATAAATATGCACATATATATGAACATATATATGTGTACAGGTATGTGTATATATATATACACACACACACATATATATACATAAACATGTGTGTGTGTGCATATACATATCAAACAACTGTCTCCACTGCTTCTTAGTTATAAATTATTGATCAAGTCAACTAACTAACCTGAGACTTAGAGTCCTCATTTTATTAATGGAGCTAATTGCATGCACTGTATAGGATCTTGCGGAAAATAAATTACAGTATATAAAATGTCTCCTAGTATGGTGCATTGTACATGGTTGACATTCAAAAATGCTTCCTAGGCCGGGTATAGTGGCTCATTTCTGTAATTCCAGCATTTAAACACAGTGTGACCTTATCTCTATTAAAAAAATTAAAAATTAGCTGGGCATGGTGGCATATGCCTATAGTTCCAACTACTAGGGAGGCTGAGATGGGAGGATTGCTAGAGCCCAAAAGGTCAGGAGGTTGAGGCCACACTGAGCCAGTGATCACACCACTGCACTCCAGTCTGGGTGACAGACTGAGACCCTGTCTCAAGAAGAAAAAAAGTTTATTTTTATTCTTTTATTCTTACTCCAGCCTGGGTGACAGATTGAGACCCTGTCTCAAATAAAAAAAAAAAAAAAAGGTTTCTTTTTATTCTTTTTCACAATTTCGTCTGGTGCTCATTTGACTTTCTAGTGGAGACCCACATATACATACACAGTACAAAATGTTGTGAATGTACCAAATCTCAAAATGATTAACACAGAAACATGCCTCATGAGTAGAATTTACTTTCTCTTTTTTATGTCTGAGTAATTCTATTTTTTTATTTTTTATTTTTTCAGAGATGGGGTCTCACTATGTTGCCCGGGCTTGTCTTGAACTCAGCTCAAGCAATCCTTCCACCTTTGCCTCCCGGAGTGCTGGGATTACGGGTGTGAGCCACCGTGTCCCTGAATTTACTTTCAAAAGTATACTCACGAACTTAAATAATTCAACACAAAATAAAAAATGTACTTTGATATCCAGTTTTAAAAGAAGAAAAACTAACTTCTATTAAATACCTTAACACTAAAATGAAAGTGTTCAGTGACTCAAAATAAATCTTTCTGAACCATAACTCTGTAGTCTTAAACACAGTATATCTATGATATGTGACTAAAAGGCATAATGTTTGAAAATATCATATCACAATAATTATGGTGATTTCCCCTATCAAGGTAATAAAACTGAATTATATAAATTCATTCTTAGGGATGTATATTTATTGTTTCATTGAACATTATGCATTATATATTTCTTATACTCAAAATTGATGGCCAGGCTCTGTGGCTCATGCCTGTAATCCCAGCACTTTGGGAAGCTGAGGCGGGTGGATCACCTATGTTCAGGAGTTTGAGACTAGCCTGGCCAACATGGTGAAACCCCATCTCTACTAAAAATACAAAAGATTAGCTGGCATAGTCGTGGGAGCCTGTGATCCCAGGTACTTGGCAGGCTGAGGCAAGAAAATCTCTTGAACCCGGGAGGCTGAGGTTGCAGTAAGCTGAGATCGTGCCACTGCCCTCCAGCCTGGGCAATAAGAGCGAAACTCCATCTCAAAAAAAAGTAATAAAAAAAGCACTATATCCATGTAATGTATACCAAAACATATTACTTATTTTAATCTCCTTCACTTGGCCTAAATATTCTCACCTTGTAGGAAATATTAGCTATAATATATTTCAATGTGATTATTTAAAAGTCTAAAACCTACAACATTGTATTCCAAAAACTAGAAACTGTGATTTGAGGAAGAGATCTTGCTGGAATATTTTTATTTTGCAAAGAACTAATACCAAAAATGTGTACATAGTTTCAAAGATTTGAAGTCTCTAAAAATGTCCCTGTGAAATAAGCACACATATACTTCCTTGATAATTGCACACATTTTGATTTTTAAAAACATTTTTTCAAATTCAGAACATATTTCTTCACTCTGTTTTTCTTAGGAGAAAAATCTGAATATTAGCCCAATTTTTAAGTTAGGGTGTTAAAAATCTCAGAAAAGTTTATTCACACCTCTGAGGCTAAAAGAAATGCCTTTTAACCAGAACATAAGATTTTTAGAACCATACTAGAAGTCACTACCTCTTTGTATAATCAAAAATAGAAAACAAAGTACACATTTAGAACTTAACTATGAGACAGAAATTAATTTACGTAATGAATACTGAGAGGAAACAAGGTAGGAAGGAAGGAAGTTTCTGTATATCACTTCTTCTAAAAAATGGAATACAAAGAGTGTCATAATCATGTTTTTGACTCTTACTGGGGGGTGGCTCACAAATTTACAAGCAGATATTGTTACATTAAAGCAATTTCAATGCTCTAATAGAAGGTTATGAATTTGCAATGGAAAGTTACTTGAATTTCACACTGTAGAGCTGTTAGTGGTAAGTAATTATACCACTGTATTTCCAATGATGAAGTCCCATCTCTGTGCTTGTTCCCTTCCCAGTGGAAAATATCTTGTAAAGCAAAGAGTGGCTAAGGGATTCAGGAGGAGGAAAACACATACCATAAAATATAATTAAGAATTGTGGAGGCTGCATATGACAAGAATAACCATAAAAAACAGATACAAACCAGCTGGCTGTTAACAACTTCTGAGTTATAAAAATCTTAAACCTGCTGTAAAGCACTCAATTCAATTTACATAACCACAGAGCTGACATTCCTTTTAGGCTCCTCTGTTGGGGATTTTCTTTTTTTTTGACATGTTTTAAGGCAACATAAAAAGCAACTGTGAAAAGAAGACATGTATCATCTTACACAGGAATTTATTCCTGCTTTAAGACTGGACTTTCAAACTTTAATTTGAACCTCTTCCCTTGAAGTGGAAAATATCTTTAATGGACATTGGCTGTCTGATTTTACAGCATTAGTTTTTAGATGTTCATGTTTCTAACAACACTAATGCTTTTTCTGTGTGTTATGTGTTGTGTGTATTTGAGTCACTGGCATTATACAATTTCAATTCAGTGGTACCCATTCAAGAACCAATATCCATGGTCTATAAGAAGAGAATAATATTTTGGTCAACCATGACTGAAACAACTATAATTTCTTAGGAACCTAATGATGCAAACAGCATTGTACAAAACTAACATAGCCTGCTGTAGGGAATTAAAAATAAACAAAATAAAATAAAATCAATTGTACATTGAGTGAAATTTTGATGTATAAGTGCTGGCAGCCGAAATTGCCCTGAGCACAAAATGAGCTTTCCTGTTTGATAATTTGCTTGATTCACTATGTTGCTACATGCAGGGCACTTTATGCCTGACTTATATTAAATCCAGTCACCTGCTTAATGTTAGAAGGGTCATAATTATATACAAGGGTTTTGAACATACAGCATGTCAATATTTCAGATCTGGCATATAAAATATGTATACCCATTTTCAATTTAACAATTTTAAAATATGTTTGGTAATAACTTTAGGGTTATAATACAACACAAAATCATTCTATTTTCACCAAGAATAAAGTAAGCAAATGTATTGGGGTTATGAGACAACCATAGCCCCATATATTGGGACGAGCAGAGGCATGGAGTTATGAATTCAAATTCTCTGCCATTATCTGGCTGATTTTCAGCAGCAAACCCTAGTCTTAATTTCTCATGGTACTACATGTACCACAGAAAGTTGTTGGGAGATGATATAGTATATGGATTCTTAAAATATGTTAGGATTTTAAATAAATCTCTAAAATATTTTTATGTAATGTGTAAGCTGCCTTTTGTTATGTTAGATTATGTTAGGAATTATAGTTAACTCCTTCAGTTCTTTAGTCTGTGTAATTATTTAAAACAGAAATTACCACTAATAAAAAGAGAGAAATCAGTCTAGCTGTTATAGAAGAAATAATGAGTTTCTTTTTAGTCACTGACAAGTTTAAAATGACATCAAATGTCCAATATCTAGTGATAGACGTAACACTCTTTAGAGAGTATTATGGATAAAGTGATGAAAATAATAAAAAAAAGGACATGAGATTGTTCTATAACATTGTTATAGAAAAAGATTGTTATAGAACAATCTCATGTCCTAGACAGGGGAAAAGCAAAAAGAAGTTTTCAAATATCTTTATAAGATTTTCCATGTTGTTTATTACAAAGAATAACAGTAATACTAGCTGCTTAAACACACATACACACACAGACACATACATATATATATATGACTCATAAGAACAATTTTAATTTTGTTACATTGTTTTATCTTGAGTAAATATGAACTTAATCACTAGAAAATATCTTAGCACATAGTAAAATTAATTTCCTGAGATATTTTCAATTTAATTTTTATTAGGTAAAATATAAGGATTTTATTTTTTGTCACTTAAATCTGTCAAAGGACAAATTAAAGTAGCAGGAAAAAAGAAAGAACATGATTTACTATGTTCTGGGATATTACAACATTTTCTATACAATGGAATAATTAATGGAAGACTATCAATATAGATGACTATGTATATGATTAGACAGATTAATACATCTAAATATGATATAATCAAATGTGTGTATTTTATATTTCAAACACTTAACTCAAAAATTATATTGTTTCCATATAATCCTGAGAAGGAGGATACATTTCCTAGATTATATGTTCCCATAATAAAATATCAAATGAAAATCTTCAAGAAAAAAAGATCCCTTGAAATTAAGTTTATTTCTATTTCATAGGCAGATTGAATCTTAGAATTAATAATAACTATAACATTATCCTAAATGTAAAACATCCCTGTACAACACACCTGGGAGAGAGTACTCAAGGCATTTCTAATGAGATTTCCATGCAATATGGTCCACACAGTTTCTCAGTGGGCTCATATTTGAACCATTTTTTCTCCCATGAGTGACAGTCACTCGTTCAGTCCTGCCTTCTGGAACAATGGAGAATTAATCTGTAACCTCCGTAACTATATCCAAAGACAGTGATAATGTCCCTACTCAGAGCCCCCATTCTTCTCTAAATATTCTCATTTCCTTCAACCAATGTTAATGTAATAACTTCCAGTTGTGATTACCCAATTTGGGCAATGTTTTCTATCATGACCTCTCAAGACGTAACAACCACAAATGGACACAATACTGTTGATATCGTCTAAGCAAACAAGGCTGCTGCCAAAACAAAGCAATATGTAGAGTTTGTCAGCAGCCACACAGCATCAAATTTAAAATAGACTTCAGTGAATCACCATGTTGGCAACGGTACACAGAGGTTTTGTTCCCAGATGTAAAAATCTTGCTTAGGTTGAAAACATCAAATACTATTGTTAAAAGGGTTCAGAATGAAATAAACTGATGAATACATGCTTTTTTAAAAATCACGATCAAAATATAACAACCATAAATGATCCCAATGCTGCCGATAAACATACAAGACTGTCACCTTGTGATTCAGGAAACAGGCTTGGCAGTTATGTTAACAGTCTTGAGCAAGAAAAATCAGTGCCAAAATTTACTCATCTGTAAAATGGAAATGGTAATAACTACCCACAGATATTTTATCAGTATTAAATGAGCTAATATATGTAAAAGGACTTAGTAACTGAAATATGATAAATCCCAATAGATGGTAACAATTACTAATACTCTAATGATCTAAAAATTACATATTCATTAATCAGTCAGTGATTGCCTTGAATCTTCAAACAGCCACATTATATGCTTTGTAATACCATGAAACTCATATATTTTTCCACAAAAAATATTGCTATCGGATTTAATTTTCATATTTGTGTTGTACAAATGAAGTTTTGAGTTGAATCATACTCTTTTTAAGCCAATATAAAAATGGCACTTTCCACTATAATGAGAATAATTATGCCTTTAACCCCTAGTTTTCTCTTCCTCTTTGAAAAAATTTATAGTGCTGTTATGTAACTCTCTTGGTATTGCTACTTTGTACCTTCAATTATAGATTACTGAGTGGCAATGTCATTCATCTTTGCAACTCATCATAAATATTTGTTGAATATTTATGAAAGGAACATTTCTAAAGTGCGCATTTCACAAATAAATTTTGAAATAGTTATGAATATATTGTATGATATCTAATATTCACTTCAGATTTTCTGCAACAAGAAGATACTCTATTTAATGACTATGAATATTTTACTTATTTGGAAATAAAGGGTGTGTGTAATTGTGTATATGATTGTGTGTGTGTGTGTGTAACTTCTCCAATTGAGAATAAAATGTATCAAAAGTAGATGGAGGAGTTAAACAGCAGAACAACAGAGACAATAATTCAATAACATCAATCAGTTATCTTTGTTACTTTGATTCTTTCATCAGAACTTAGCCTCTGCTAAACACAGGCTTCATAAACAACTTTGTCATTTTAAATGTTTTAAATAAAACATAAGAGAAAAAAATGCAAAGAGAGGAGAAAGCAAAAAGCTAGATTGAAAAGACAGACAATTCAAATTTGAGGAGTAGAGCCTAGGTTCAGGTGAAAAACATGCAACAGATACATGCTTTCTGGTCAAGGCATTATTGGAGAAAAGATTCAAGGGTTGACAGCTAAACAATGTGCTACTGGAGCACTGAAATGTAGAGAAACTCACGCTCAGAAATTTAAAGGAATTGCCAACATTTGCTTACTAGCCACCAATATTTAGTGGTTAAGGTTAATCAACCTTACAGGGACCCAAATCTCCTTAAGAAAGAGCCCAGTTTTATAGATGCCCAACTATTAGCTTATCTAACCCTGCTAGTTTCAGAGTGAATATAAATAAGAAATAGAGATTCTGGAGACTCCAGTTTTTCAGTTGTTTTAAAAAACCAATTCACCAGGTATTTGACGATAGTTGATATAATTCACACGGCTGTCTCAAATAATATGGCCATGTAGATTTCCAGAGTTCAATATGTAAAGTTCATTAATATCCACATAATTTTTCATTTAAAACAGATTTAAGTGAATCACCTGTTGGAAACAGTACACTGAGGTTTTATTCCCAGATGTAAAATCTTAGTTAGGTTGCAAATACCCAATGCTATTGTAAAAAAAATCTCCAGTGTGAAGTAGATTGGTGAATACATGTCAAAAAAAATCATGATCAAACCTGGCATTTTTGTTGACAGACTTTGTAGTGAGGCCAAAGGTGTAATTAGGCCAGAAAATTACTTTCTCACCACTAGAATTGTTCCCTTCAGGTCTTGAGTTATCAGTCCAGAAAATTTCATTTAACACTAAATTCACTTTAAGACAACTGTCAAAATTAAGCAGAGGTGAGTCAAGTCAAGGTCCTAATATTCAAATCTCTCATTTGGATTTTGAGATTCAATACAAAATAAAAATGCTATAGGTTCATTTTTCTATCAAGACTAAACTTTTTGTGAATTTAAGAAACAACCTGTTCTTTTGGAAAACAGGATAAAGCAGAATAACTAAATACATGTAGAATTTGAGATGCTTACTAGCCATAAATGGTTGAAACAATCTCTATTCCCTGTTCAATAAGATCTTGGTGTGAAAACAATAAAAACATAAAAGGACCCACAATTGTTATAGATGCAATGCAAGGGGGGAATGATACTAATGACAGAATTGTGAATTTACCATATTTGCTTTAAAATGATGGGAGTTGGCTGTAGTATATTTATAAATAACTGGTGTACCACATTTTCAAAAATGGAAAGAAATAGGATATTTTGGTACATATTCCATAGATTTTTGAGCAAGAACTCAGTGTTAATAAACACAAAGGAAATATACTTTATACAGCATGGTAGGATTATGAGTGACGCCTTCGTATTTTCCAAAATCTTGTAATAATAACATACAAATTGAATATTTGAAAAATAGCTTCAACTACTTTTGCTAATTATATCAAACAGTTTAATGTCTAATATAGTATCATGAAAAGTATGACCATAATTTCTGGAGCCAAAGAGCTTATGCTGAACTTCCCTTGGATGCCAATTGTGACATTGCTTTGACCAGGAGCTTTATCAATTGCACAAATAAATAATAACACAGAGATTTACTACTAATGAGCAATAGGGTAAATGAAGACTATAAGAGTGAGTTATTAATAAAAGTTAAGAAATTATTTTTTCAATTATTTAGGGTAAAGTAGCATGCTTGGGACTTACAGCTAACACTACAATGTGTTGAACTATTTATAACGTTCAGAAATAACTCTAATAGCATAAAACATTTGTCAGTCTATTAGTACTGCATTATTTAGCAAACAAAGTGCAATGTAAAAGAAAAAAAAAGTTTAGTAGACTTTTCCACACTCAATAAAGTAATAGCTAAGTTAGAACTAAAATTCAAACATAATGGAATATTAATGAATTAAGCTTGGTCAATAATGTGGAAATATAATTTTTAAGATCTCTCAATCTATCATTTTGCTACCCCCATATACCCTACCTCCAAAAAATCATGAGACTGAACATCTCAACACTTTAAAATGTAACTATAAAATATATAAATCTTCAAAATGAAACTATTTTAAAACAGTTCTTAAGCTTTCCACCAGTATTATGAGAGAAATAAAACACTATCTAGAAGATATTATGGTGTAAACTAGTGACCAAAACGCCTACTATGCAATAATTTAACTTACATGTCCAATACATGCAGTGGTGCTGTAAGAAGTTTCTGAAATTAGGATTAAGCATGCTAATGAAAATCTGAGGTGTTCTTTTAAAATTTGACCCTGTCCTTTAAAAAGTTCATCTAACAATTTTTTATCAATGAAAAATTCAATTCATCTTCTTTCAATTCTGATCAAAATATGAATGTTACCTAAAGAGATTAATGGATTCCTTGGAAATAGCATAAGTGATAGTGAAAACAAGATTTATAATTATTTATCACTGAATTCAATCCCCAATTGGGCCCTTCATTTCCATTTGAGCAGACTATTTAAATTTTGTGTACCTTAATACTCATCTGTTAAATGAGACAAACAACACCTCCTTCATAAATTGACACGAGAAATAAATGAAATGATATATTAGCTATTAGCAATGTTCCTACCATGTAGTAGTTAGTTATGAATTGTTTGCAGTGCCTTTTGTTTTAACCAATTTATTATACTTACTAATGGAATCATATTTAATTTAACAACATTTTGGCCAGAAACTACGCTAGCAATAGAAGATGCAGTGGTAAAAAAATATACATAGACATAAATATTGATTGTATATATAAAAGTAGTTGGAATTTTAAAATTAAATGCAAATGTAACTGACAAGTTGTTTTTACTTCTGTTGATTATATCCTATGTACAAAGTCTTAATAAATATGCTTTATAAATGCAAGAATATCTATAAAAGAGATGTGAGAAGTACTATGTAGATAAGCTCAAGCAATTATTTGGAAGCAAATTTCAAATATTTTTCATTTGTCAAAATATTCTTTATTGTGGTCTGCATCTGCAATATGGCCATGGCTATTCTAACCCATACGGTGAGAATTATAAATTTGAATAAGCCTTTTAAAAATTATTTCTAAAAAGTAATATTCTCTTTGAATATACTAATTGGGTTTCCAACTATGCTACTTATGAAATGCTAAACTTATGCATTTTATTGGATTTATTATAAAAATAAATCAGTTGAACATGTAATAATCAGTAATGAAAAGATGACATAAAAATATGTCCAGAGAATAAAGAACCCTGCATGCTAGTTGATATGACATTTTAGGAGCAAAAAGTGATATTAAGTAAAAAACGACCAGGTGCAGTGGCTCACGCCTGTAATCCCAGCACTTTGGGAGGCCAAGGCAGGTGGGTCACCTGAGTCAGGAGTTCGAGACCACCCTGGCCAACATGGTGAAGCTCTGTTTTTACTAAAAATACAAAAAATCGGCTGGGTGTGGTGGTGTGTGCCTGTAATCTCAGCTACTTGGGAGGCAGGAGAATTGCTTGAATCTGGAAGGCAGAGGTTGCAGTGAGTAGAGATCATGCCATTGCACTCCATCTTGGGCAACAAGAGCAAAACTCTATCTCAAAATAATAAATAAATAAAAATAAAAACAAAAAAATGAAGCAGCTGCAGATGTCAAATTTTATGTACAGTTTTTTTCATATAGAATAGGAATATGTACACATGAAGGCCTATAACAAGGAATTTTCAATATTTTTTAAAGAGAAACTGAGAAAAAAACAGCAGCACAGTCAATTCTTTACATGACTAAGATCTCACTTTAAATCTCTCTGAATCTCTTACAGATAAAAGAAACATGGCCAGATAATGGTAGTCCATGACATATGTGTTTAATTATAATCCTGAAATTTAAAATATTAATGCATAGAAACTCCAGAAGCAATAGATTCTCTGGAATTCAGGCCAAGATCAAAAGTGGTCTAGGCAGAATTTGCTGGACAGACAGTCAACATATTCAAGGTAAAATGAAGATTGCTGTTCAGATGATGGGATGATACGCTAATGGGAGTGATAATGCTGACAGTTTTTATGATCAATTTTAAAAAATCAAAGGAAGCAAACCACCCCATTTCATTAAAATAATGGCATTGGTATTTGGAGGAAGTACATATTTCTAAAATGTCTATATTCCAATAGTTCTCTCTCATTGATACATATAGTATTTTATTATAGATGATTGATGTGGAACTCACTGTAATTTCAAAAATTCATAGAATATTATTATGTCATGAAATCCATGCCGAGAAAGCAATTGCCATTATAAATCAAAAAGACAACTCATATGGACAGGTCATATGGTAACAGGTTCTCCTTGGAATAGTATCCTTAAACTTAATTTATTCAATAAGTTACTTAAAGGTTAGGTATGATGAGATGAATTTCATGCTCAAATAACTTCAAAATATCATTATATTGTAACACTAAGGGATTAATTTTCTTGGAATTTAGACATACTTGCATTTATATTCATTTGAATCAACATGGTTCCATGGAATCCTACTTAAACATTTCTCCATAATTTAATTCCCTAAAAGAATTTTATTAAGCAATATAAGATAATAGATAATACAAAGGGCATTTACTGCTTTAATAGATAAATGAAGGTATCCAAATAGAGGGATACATTTGAAAAACTTTCACAATGTTACATTTTCAAATTTAGAAAATAGATGTTTTAATAGGAAAACGAATAGGTCCAAAACTTGACTTTTAAGGAATAATGCTTTACTTTGGGAACTAAACATTTTATTGCCTTTAATATTAAACATTTTACATGTTTAAAGATAATCTTGATAATATAGCATCACATTTGTAAATTAAACCCAAAATAATAACTTACATTTGCATAGTTCTTTGGAATAAACAGAGTGTTACATCCCCTTTAATCCTTAAAAACTCAACACTCTTTCCTGAAATTATATCCTTACATCCCAGGAAGTAAGCTCAAATAATTAAAAATATATATCTTTAGAAAAATAGTATCTCCAAAATTATTGCATTTCTGAAATGAAAACTAATGGAAATGTGTTTTATCTGAATAGAATGATATTCAATCAAAAAGTCATGTAGGATGTATTCCAGTAAGTTAAATATGAATCACAAAATTCTATATATAATAGACAAAAACAAATCAATGACATAAGAGAACTGTATCAGGGAAAAAAATATTTTATTTGATCTAATTGAAAAATACAAAACAAAATTTTTTTTTTTAAAAATAAAGAAATGGGCCCAATGCATTGGCTCACACCTGTAATCCCAACACTTTGAGAGGCTGAGGCAGGCAGATTGCTTCAGGTCAAGAGGTCGAGACCAGCCTGGCCAACATGGTGAAACCCTGTCTCTACTAAAAATACAAAAATTAGCCAGGCATGGTGATGGGCGCCTGTAATCCCAGCTACTCCAGAGGCTGAGGCAGGAGAATTGCTTGAACCCAGGAGGCAGAGGTTGCAGTGAGCCGAGATCGCACCACTGCACTCCAGCCTGTACAACAAGAACAAAACTCTGTCTCAAATAAAAAACAAAAAAAGAAACAAGAAATGATTATAACCTGATGCCATAAATATGGGAAAGAACCCATAATTCCCAGAACTGATATATTCAAACATTCAAATAGAGAGATAAATAACTGGTATTCCATGTGAAACAAAGCAAATTATCTGTTTTAAAAATCATCATCATAAAACTCTGAATCGGATGGCATCTTGCTATGTCACACTTTGCAAAGTGTTTTGTGATCACATTAGCTCAGGGGTACCCAAACTCCAGGCCACAGACCAGTATGGGTCCTTGACCTGTTAGGACCTGGGCCACACAGCAGGAGCTGAGTGGCAGGTGAGCAAGCAAATCTTCATCTGTATTTGAAGCCACTCCCCATTGTTTGAATTAGCGCCTGAGCTCCATCTCCTGTCAGATCAGTGAGGACATTAGAGTTTCATAGGATCAGGAACCCTATTGTGAACTGCACATGCGAGAGATCTAGGTTGTATGTTCCTTATGAGAATCTAATGCCTGATGATCTGTCACTGTCTCCCATCACCTGCAGATGGTGTGGTGAGTTGTATTATTTCATTATATATTACAATGTAATAATAATAGAAATAAAGTGCACAATAAATATAATGTGCTTGAATCATCCCAAAACCATACTTCCCACCCACCCCCATCAGTGGAAAAAATGTCTTCCACAAAACCAGTCCCTGGTGCCAAAAAGGTTGGGGACTGCTGCATTCGCTTACTATGTTCTTCACAAAGTCCTATTGAGTAAGAAATAAGGCAGAACTTATGATGGTGGTCTTTACATGATAAAGTAGGTATTTCAGAAGGCAGCTTGATGTAGGAATATAATCAATAAACTGGGATCATAAAACCTAAATTGACTAGAACATAATAGGTACCAATTCCTACCTGTAATGGCTGAACAAGTGAGGGCAGGTAGTGTTACTCAATGTCACACAGCTAGCAAGCGATGAGGAAGAGAATAAAGGCCAGACCTTTTAGTTTCTAAGTTAGGAGCCAACTCACAATACCATTTTGTTTGAAAAATCAATAAATGTCTTTTAAAGAAAAGAGTCATAGCCTGACCTACTCATTGTATCCTAAATTAGCCAAAAAAAAAAAAAAAGTCCATGGTATTCATTTTCTAGGAATTAGGTCTGTGGCAACTTTAATTAATGTGAAATGGCACAAAAGATCTTCAAATAGTTTAGTCTACTGTATATATCTTCAGCCATATATCAACACGTGAACATGATAAAAAGCTCTCCCATTAATTATACTGACTAATTCCTTAATGAAGTGCAAAAACGTTTGCGTAATCTGATTCAATTTATTGAATTAGGTTACAGTTTTATCATTTTGAAAATCAGCTTCATTGTTTACTTTACAATATGTCAATTCATTTCCAACAATTAAATAGCTCAGCATACAGCCATAATCAATTGAAAGCAATCTCCATTTTTAAGGTCTACTACCATTTGTAATGTGCATATTTCTGAAAGCAATATGTGATAGTTTGAACATATATTGTAACAGTAGCAATGACATTTTATATCCCTAAAACTTATTTTGTCCACAAGTCTATAAAGAGAGTTCAGTGTCATTAAGTCCCTAAAAAGTAAACATTTCATAACCAAATTTCAGTGTTATGAAATAATACTATTAGCAAAATCTATAGAGTATATGTGAATATGAATAGCTTGACAAACTAAGACTTCCTATACCTAAACTATACATTTTAAAAGTTATTAACTTTATTTTTAAATCCAATGGAGTTGATTTGAGCAAAGAAAGTTAGCAATGGCATTGAATAAGACTGGGATCAGCCTAATTACAATAATACTTTACCTTTGTCTAGCTTCATCACTTACAAGATGTTACTATAAATTGTGTCATTTGACATTCATGACAATTAGAGAAGCATAATTTTGATGTAATAAAAAGATTATTTTTACAGGTGAAAGAAATGAAGAATCAAAAAAATTTGAATGGCTCAATTATTATATATTTTAAAAACCATGTGCCTGAAAGATTCCTATGAATTTTGGCGATTGGCTTCTCTCTTGGGACTTTACTTTTTAAATCAGAAAGTCAAATCAAAATAATTCTAAGTAAAGTTCAAGGTCTTTCATTTAAATATCTTTAGGGTTTATGTCATTGTTTTATCATTTCTGATGATGTTTACTGTTTAAAATAATACAGCATATTCATCCTTATTCCAAACCCTATCACAACTTTAAATATTTCTTTATATTATATTCAATAATTGCCATTTCCTCCTATTGACTAATTTTACAGCTATGGAACCCTTTAGGGTTTCTCATGAAAGAAAGGGAGAGAGGACAAAAGAAAAAATATATGTAAAAATCTCTTTCAATTGGAAAAAAAAAAGTATCCGTTAGCTTTACCATAGTCACAGTTTTATTCAGAAGCTAACTATTCCATCCATAAAAAACAGTGTAGCAAGTACGATTGCTTAAGAATATAAAGCATGCATCTCAAAAGTAATTTTAAGTTACCATACAAAAAAGTAGGAATGAATATATGAACAGGCACCTTTTAACTAGAAAGACACCATGTCATGTTTGGGAGAAAAATTAAAAGTAAAATAAAATAGAATCCACATATTTCATAATTAGAAGGGAACAAGGTGGTCTTCCCCAACCTACCTCCCTCTCAATGTAAAATTGCCTTCAAATTTAACTAACAACAGTAATTCTAAAGTGGGAAAATTTACAGCTGATGGTTAGCGAGGGAGAATAAGTTTTCAAAAAAATCGTATTGTTTTGTAACATAAACAATATAGCCTATTAAATAAATTGAATAGAAAAACCGTGGCTAACAACTTTTCATCCCAGTTTTCTCTTGAACATTTCTGTCAGAAGGAAAATTTGAG
This sequence comes from Homo sapiens, assembly GCF_000001405.40. NCBI lineage: Eukaryota > Metazoa > Chordata > Mammalia > Primates > Hominidae > Homo > Homo sapiens. The sequence goes on from NC_000013.11 coordinate 71,671,809, forward strand.
GTTTTATTAGTAATACATTCCACTTTCTGACAGTTCTCCACACAGCAAGGCTCTTTCTTACGGAAGCCAATGTAGACTTCTCTGCAATTTATTCTATCAGATTTCTGTCCTCAGAAGTGCACAATATGATTCTATTGTATCATCCACTTTCAGATTATCTGTAAGCCTTCTTAAGACTAAACATCACCATCATTTCCAAATTGCTATCAGCATGACTGTTCTCTTAATGCTCACAAGTTTGTCAATGTCTTACTAAAAATTGTGGTGCCATGACTGAACATAATATTCCAGATGCCATCTGAAGTGTAGAGCAAAATAGTACTGTTCTTTCCATTTATCTGGACTTTATATTTCTATCTATTAAGCTTAGGTTTATATTAGCACTTTCCAAAGTTGTACCATAATGTTCATTTATATGGTTACAGAGCCAAATGAAATTCTTCATCATTTTACATGCAGAATACGTTTAAATCAGTTCTTAAGTTAATGAATAAGTAGGATAATAAATGTTTTGGGACACAAACTGCAAGGTTTTTTATAAACACTATGATCTTTCTGGCTTTTGCCAGCTTCTCTAGAAATGTTGTTCCTGCCAACCCTTTCATAGCAATTTTACATCTTTACAAAGGACAGAGTAAAGTTCTGAAACTTATCCCCAAAAAGTATGGAAAAAATAAAAAGAAGTTCCAACATTTTATGGTTAAATCTTTAATAACTAACCTACAGCACATCATTAAGGGAAGGAGTTGAAGCTTTGAGGCTAGCTTCAGAGAGGAAAGCCTATCAAAGGGAAAGGCTAAAATAAATAAATAAACGAAATAAAAATAAAAAAAGTTTATCTTGCTTTGCACTAAAATAAACAATATTTGTATTTCTCGCATTTCTTGGTTAGGAAGGGACGTAAGATACCAGCTGCACCTCCTACTGGTTAAAAAATTATAGCGAGCAATAAAAGACAACATGTGGCACATCCACAATGTAACCAAGGGATTAGAACACTAAGAATTTCACAAATAAATGGATATCTGTGAAGCTACAAAGCTCCAGGTAATCTATACAATGTCCACTGTCATAATCAAAAGTTGACTCTGAAAATCTGATTTGCTTTTCTTAATGTAAGTAAACTTCTCTTGTCAAAGGGGGCATCATATTACTAAAAGGAAGCAAATAATACCTTGCAGTTACTCAATTAAGGACATTAGCAACTTCATTATGGGAAATCTACTGAGAGAGAAGTATAAGCAGATTGTAATTCTTAGTGCAGACCAGTGTAGGAAAAGAGACTACAGAACTCAATAGAAACCTGGAAGAGAGAAATAAATTAGGGAAGAAAGTATGGTAATTTTCTTCTAAATTAAGTAGATGAGAGGACTGTCCAGAAGTCTAGTAATATGTGGTTATTTAATTAAGTCTAAAAATAATAGATCATTGCTCTAAGAGATAAGAAAGAAATGATTTTTATGAATATCTATGCTAGTAACAGACCCAGGGTATATTGTGATTTAACAGAAGTACTCTGTTTTAACATGTTACATAGGAAAAAGAAGTAAATATATTTCTTCTGTAGTTCATCATAACAAGAGCTATATTTACATTCAGTTAACTTAAGAAATATATTTTATTTATATGTATTAAATTATATATCAAGATACTGGAGGTACAATGAAAATTCTAATCTTAAAGGATTATATAATATAGTACAAATGTAGTTATATATACCTGTATATGCAGGAATTGTAAAGAGTAATATGTTCCCATGGACACGGGGTGGGTGGGGGACACCACACACCGGTGCCTGTTGGGGGGTGTGGGGCTGGGGGAGAGAATGCATTAGGAGAAATACCTAATGTAGATGACAGGTTAATGGGTGCAGCAAACCACCATGGCACGTGTATACCTATGTAACAAACCGGCACGTTCTGCACATGTACCCCAGAACTTAAAGTATAATAATAAAAAAAGAGTAATATGTTCCATGCTACTATGTTATTTCTATAAATGTCACTTCTCTAGAGCATCAATTTAGAGATTTAAATTCCATCAATTGATGATTATGCTTAAATGTAACCATCATAACCTATAAACAAACAAATAATGCCTTCCATACACTTAGTATACTTCCATTAGGCTCTACACGCTGCATCTTTAATCTGGAGCCTAACTGTGCTTAATGGGATTTTAGAAGCTACATTAACACACCAGTGTTTAAATTTGTAATTGTAAGGCATAATAATTTCTCTCAGAAATCCTTTACTAAACATTTATTAGCCATATTCATTGAACAAATATTTAGTTTGAATATCTGCTCTGTGCCAGGCAATATTCTACACACCAGTGATACCAAAGTGAATAAAATAGGCCAAAATCTTCTGTGTGCATATCTACCATACCCCACCTGGACTTCTCATAATACTTAGCCTAGTGACTTGCTGGATGTCGTAGGCTGCCAATGGCCTCCAAAATTAAGCCCATGTCCTAATCCAGGAAATGTGTGAATGCTACTTTATATATTTAAAAAAATTATTTGTAGATGTGATTATATTAAGGATCTTAAGACAGATTATCCTGTATTATCTAATGTAGCCTAAATACAATCACAAGTGTCCTTAAAAGAGAGTCAGAGGGAGATTTTACACACACACACACACACACACACACACACACACACACACACACGAAGGCGACATTACCACAGAGTCAGAAATTGGAGCCAGGCAGCCACAAAACCAAGAAATGCCTGCAGCTCCCAGAAGCTCAAAGAGGAAAGGACTGGATTCTCCCCTAGAGCCTCCAGAGGGGGTACCCTGCTGACACCATGATTTCAGCCCAGTGATGCTGATTTTGGACTCGCAACCTCCATAACTCTGCAAGTATAAATTGTGGTTTTGCCACTAAGCTTGTGGTAATTTGTTACGGCAGGCACAGGAAACTAATAAATTGCATGATGAAGTCTAAAGTTTAGGTGGGCCTTACAAAAAGGAAAAAAAAAAGAAGACATACCCTTTAATTTTTCTCTTCAAGAAAAGTACAAAGGGAACATGTACTAAGTAGTTATAGGTTAAATGTGCTATCCTCAACAAAATGTCTAGTATCAAACCTCTCAAATATTTCCTAGATATATAAATATATGAAAACACATACAAACGGTGTTCGCAGCCGCCACCGCGCTGCCGTCGCTCTCCAACGCCAGCGCCGCCTCTCGCTCGCCGAGCTCCAGCCGAAGAGAAGGGGGGTAAGTAAGGAGGTCTCTGTACCACGGCTCGTACAAAGCAGACTGCCCGCAAATCGACCGGTGGTAAAGCACCCAGGAAGTAACTGGCTACAAAAGCCGCTCGCAAGAGTGCGCCCTCTACTGGAGGGGTGAAGAAACCTCATCGTAACAGGCCTGGTACTGTGGCGCTCCGTGAAGTTAGACGTTATCAGAAGTCCACTGAACTTCTGATTCGCAGACTTCCCTTCCAGAGTCTGGTGCGAGAAATTGCTCAGTACTTTAAAACAGATCTGCGCTTCCAGAGCGCAGCTATCGGTGCTTTGCAGGAGGCAAGTGAGGCCTATCTGGTTGGCCTTTTTGAAGACACCAACCTGTGTGCTATCCATGCCAAACGTGTAACAATTATGCCAAAAGACATCCAGCTAGCACGCCGCATACGTGGAGAACGTGCTTAAGAATCCACTATGATGGGAAACATTTCATTCTCAAAAAAAAAATTTTTTTTTTTCTCTTCTTCCTGTTATTGGTAGTTCTGAACGTTAGATATTTTTTTTCCATGGGGTCAAAAGGTACCTAAGTCTATGATTGCGAGTGGAAAAATAGGGGACAGAAATCAGGTATTGGCAGTTTTTCCGTTTTCATTTGTGTGTGAATTTTTAATATAAATGTGGAGACGTAAAGCATTAATGCAAGTTAAAATGTTTCAGTGAACAAGTTTCAGCGGTTCAACTTTATAATAATCATAAATAAACCTGTTAAATTTTTCTGGACAATGCCAGCATTTGGATTTTTTTAAAACAAGTAAACTTCTTATTGACGGCAACTAAATGGTGTTTGTAGCATTTTTATCATACAGTAGATTCCATCCATTCACTATACTTTTCTGAGTTGTACTACATGCAAGTACATGTTTTTAATGTTGTCTGTCTTCTGTGCTGTTCCTGTAAGTTTGCTATTAAAATACATTAAACTATAAAAAAAATACAAACATTGTATAAACATCAAGTGTTTAAATAGTAAATATGAGATTTATTCTTTGGGTAAGGCATACAGTAGATTGTTATGTTTAATTTATTAGTGAAGACAATCCAACAATTTGCGGCTGTTTTATACTTGTGCATTTTTGTGTTCTCCTTACTTGTGAGTATCCCAATGAAATACAGAGCATTTATTATAATAAACTTCTCAACATACAAGGCACAATTTTTTTTTTGTTGAGATGGAGTGTTGTTCTCTTGTCCAGACTTGAGTGCAATGGTGTGATCTTGGCTCACTGTAACCTCCTCTTTCCGAGTTCAGGCGATTCTCCTGCCTCAGCCTCCCGAGTAGCTGGAATTACAGGCACCTGCCACCATGCCCAGCTAATTTTTGTATTTTTAGTAGAGATGGGGTTTCACCATGTTGGCCAGGCTGGTCTCGAACTCCTGACCTCAGGTGATCCACCCGCCTCGGCCCCCCAAATTTCTGGGATTACAGGCATGAGCCACGTGCCCAGCCTAGGCACAGTTTTACATTGTAAATTTTCTCCTGAGAAGTTGAAATGTTTAATGCATTTAAACTATTACAAATGCTAATATTACAAAAGAGGTTGTTTAGATATTGTTGCTGTTTACTATTTAGTAGAAAAAAAGAAAATTAAATTTGAAATATGTTTATGAATTCACTACATGAGAACATTTTTCTCTAAATTTTTTTAAAGATAAGAATGTTTCAATGGGATTAATTCTAGATTAATATTGCCCCGGTCCAGTATTTTTTCCAAAACGATAAATTTGCAAGTTATAAATTCTTACCTTTTAAGCATAAGGTATGTGTGTAGAATTGCTTTCTTTACCTGAATACGTATTAGTTATATGTCTACAAGATCACAGTGAGGGAAAAGACATATCCAACAGACAAAACTACAAATCATTCATTCATTTAATTTGAGTGTATTTTTAAGATACTAAATAATTTTTATATGTCAAAGGCAAATACTGAGGACTCAATTAATTCTTAGTATTTTTATGAAAATTGTATTTCAAAATTAATTTGCATACTGACTTAAAGATGAAATCAGAAAGTTGGCAAATACACTATCCAAATTGCATTCCTGGACAAGAGGGGAGTATTTTGAATTCCTAAATAACCCCTTTCTTAATTTTAAATAGACGTCATCTTATAAAAAGTATGAATGTTATTGGAAGTCTGTTGCTAGGATGAATTATTTCAAACTGGTAGTTATTATCAAAAATGATTTATGACAAGTGCTCAGTCAAAATAAATGCAGTGACCACAGCAGGAGGTATTGCCTTGTGTGACTCTACAAAGAACTTTCTTTCTTTCATTAACTTCAACTTCTGGTTGCTATGGCATCCGGTGACAACCATAACTTTTAGAAATTATCACCATCTGCCCACACCCCTTCTAAGGTTACACACAAGCCCACTCAAGCAGCCAAAATAACACATAAAAATTCCACAAGCAATCTCAAAGTTTGTTGTTTTGTTTTGTATTTGTTTTTGTTTTTGTTTCAAGTATAGATACCTAAATACTTAATATTAAGACTGGGAAAATACATTTTTTTTAAAAAAAGTCTTTTTTTTCCTAAGAAAACAAATGCATCCAGGGAAAACTATTATTTAACTCCAATGTTCAATTCTTGAAAAGAAACAATAAAAGTGATTAGGACTGAATCAATAGGTGTTGTTTGTTTGGTTTTTTGTTTTGTTTTGTTTTTGAGACAGAGTCTCACTCTGTTGTCAGGCTGGAGTGCAGTGGTGCGATCTCGGCTCACTGCAAACTTTGCCTCCCGAGTTCAAGCGATTCTCCTGCCTCAGCATCCCAAATACTTGGGATTACAGGCGCCCACCACCATGTCCAGCTAATTTTTGTATTTTTAGTAGAGATGGGGTTTCACCATGTTGGCCAGGATGGTCTAGATCTCTTGACCTCATGATCCGCCTGTCTCAGCCTCCCAAAGTGCTGAGATTACAGGCATCAGCCACCGCCCCCTAGCCGATCAATAGGTATTTATAAATTTGTCTAAATTAATCCATTTTCTTTTCACAGGACAAAGTTAGGCAACCTTGAAGATATATTTACATCTTTTTATCGTTTTCAAATGTTACTTCTCAGAATACAAAAGTACATAAATAAAGTCCTGCAAATTTAAAAGTCTATATGATCATATTTAGTCATATTCCCCAAATACACTAAAGCATTCGGTAGACTGTTGTGGGAGAAAGATGTTATATACTTCTTGAGAATTATAAAATGTATTTAGGATCATTAGATTTCCAGTTAATGTTTTAAGACAGTAAAGATATGTTCCCCAGTATATGAAGGCATTACTCTGTATTCCCTAAAATCTAAACTTCTGCATCTAGAAAAATTTTACATAAAAAGAGAAATCATACTGAATATATGAAGGTAACGCCATTCATGTGCAATAGTCAAACTTCTGGCAACCTAAAATCTTTGGACTAATGTTTGAAAGTTGAAAGTAAGCAAAATAGTAGTGAGCTGGCTCACACACCCTGTTCTAAAGCAGTTTGCTGAGGTCTACAGGGCACTAAACTAACTCGCTCCCTGCCTCCCTCCCTCCCTCCCTTCTTCCTTCCTTCCTTCTTTTTTTCTTCCTTTCTCTCTCTTTCCTTCTTTCTTTTTTTTCTTTCAGACAGGGTCTCTTTCTGTTGCCCAGGCTTGAATGCAGTGGTACAATCATAGCTCACCACAAACCTGGATCTCCCAGGTTCAAGTGATCCTCCTGCCTCAACCACCCCAGTAGCTGGGACTACAGGCACAGGCCACCACACACAGCCAAATTGTTTTGATTTTTGGTAGAGACTAAACCTTGCTATGTTGCCCAGGCTGGTCTGGAACTCCTAGCTTCAAGCAATCCTCCTGCCTCAGGCTCTCCAAGTGCTGGGATTGTAGGCCTGAACCCCGGGCCCAGCCTAACATCCCCTTTCTAATCCAGTTTATGCTCCTAATGAGCCTCCATTTCCTCATTCTTCTTTAGAACATGGCTGTTTAAGGTCTTTTTTCGATATAATGCTTAGCTTGACAGAAGTCCTGGTTTCTGGGTTCAAAACATATAGGAAAGAACAAAAGTAGAATGTCTGAGAAGGCACAGTGATTGAAATACAGAAAATGATCGTACTTTAAAAATGAAAGACCAAATTTAAAGTATCTTCGGTGTCTCTGTTCACCAAGCCGGCAAGTGCATAATACATTTCAGAAAGAGTTCTTTCAAAAAATAATTTAATATTTTGAGTTGGGACTTTGGAATATGACCTTCCTTTATTTAGAAACTCCACTTACTTACCCGAAAGTTACTTGATGGTGTTAATTATGTGAGGTGTTGCTATTTACATTTTCATGGTATCATCTTATTTAATCATTACTTTGGTAATGAACTATGTATCATCTTCATCTTAAAAGATTAAATATGGGCAGACAAATCTTCCCTATTATAATATGAATACAATCTAGGATACATTTTTTCTCTTATAACTGTGAGAAAGTAACAATTCAGAGTCAACACAAGTTTACTAAATACAGAAAAAATGATTATTAAAATGGTTATTTAAAAAAAAAACATCAGAAACATGGTTCATTGAGAGATTAATTATGTCACAAAGACTCTGAGGTCTTTTTTATTTCACACTTGAGTCTTTCAGCTATAAAACATGAAAAGTTGGCCAGGCGCAGTGGCTCACGCCTATAATCCCAGCACTTTGGGAGGCCGAGGCGGATGGATCATGAGGTCAGGAGATCGAGACCATCCTGGCCAACATGGTGAAACTCCGTCTCTACTAAAATACAAAAAAAATTCGGGCGTAGTGGCACATGCCCGTGATCCCACCTACTCCAGAGGCTAAGGCAGCCAAGATCGCGCCACTGCACTCCAGCCTGGTGACAGAGCGAGACTCCGTCTCAAAAAAAAAAAAAAAAAAACGGAAAAGAGAAGTTAAGATTTTCATATGTAGTATAAAAGATTTTCCTATGTAATTCCCAAGTCCCAAATTTTCTAAACAGAAATCTTTATCATTCAGTTAAACATAAATGAGCAAGGATTAACAACGTACTACCTATTTGATTTTTCCAAATCTCAAATTGGAATTAGAATATCAGGCAGTAGGATTCAGTTACTTGAAAAACATGATTAAATAAAGTAAAATGACGATAGTTGCCTTGAAATTGGGCAGTTTTCAGCTATTGATTTCATTTTTCTATATCTCAATTTTTCATGCATGAAATTAGTATAAAAATATTTTCATGGAATTTTCAATTATTTACTATTAAAAACCTTTGGTGGCTGGGTATGGTGGCTCATGCCCGTAATCCAGGAACTTTGGAAGGCCAAGGCAGATGGGTCACTTGAGTCCAAGTGTTCAAGACCAGACAGGGCAACATGAAGAAACCCCATCTCTAGAAAAAAAATACAAAAATTAGCCAGGCATGGTGGCCTGTGCCTGTAGTTATAGCTACTCAGAAGGCTGAGGTGGGAGGATCTCTTGAGCTCAGGAGGTCCAGGCTGCAGTGAGCCACGACTGAGCGACTGCATTACAGCCCAGGTAATAGAGGGAGACTCTTTGTCTTAAAAACAAAAATTAAAATTAAAATTAAAATTATTGAGGCCTTGCTGAAAAAAATATTAAATATATAAAATGAACAAATAGCCGAAATAGCTACAAATTAAACTCAATGATTTTTGTTAAATATCCACAAAGGTGAATGAACTGTTTAGACATTACTGCAAAAATGAAGATGAGTTAGAGACAGTCATTGATGTCAAGAAACTTCCACCCAATTATGACATATGAAATAAGATTAATCCATGATTATATCAGAGCACACAGAAAGACAAATGTTACAAAGAAAAATACAATACTGATACAGGAATTTAGAGAAAAAAGAAAAACTCTCATCTTGCCTGATTACCTTTCTTGTATCAGCTGTATTATAATACATGACATTTATATGTTCCTATGTATATTTCCTTAATAGACATATGATAAAGAAAAAACATTAATATAAATATTCTATATTATATAATAATATCAGCAATATTTCAATTTGCTCATGGATCTGGCTCATTTCCTGATGAAACAATAAAGATGGGCAAACATATGTTTATGTAAATAATCTAATTAATGAACCCATTCAGGGGGTAGAAATCAAACGAATTAATTTTGCTCCAGTGCATTATGAAATTTCTTTATGGTATGGAGCTTATGAAGTCAAGACTATTCTTTTACTTATACATTTTCAAAATTCTAGAAATAAACATCTTTCAAATGGGTTCTAATAGAAACGTATTAGTTTGTGAAAAATTACGAGACATTTCTATTCAATACAGTTACTGTCTTTTGTTTGGATGCATGTCTATCAATTTCTGGAATGCTAAACAAGTTTAAAATCCAAAGACTTGGGTTTGAATAACCACTGACAGCTACAGCTGAGTGACCTTGAGAAAGTCACTGATTTTCTCTGAACTTTGATTCCTTAATAAGAAAATAGGAATAATAATTTGATGTTTGATATTTGTGGTAGGATTAATTAAAATAATTTCTAGCACTGTGCTCAGTTCAGCTTTTATTTTATTTTAAATAAAGAAAAGATGGTAATCATAATGCAGTTTTGAAATAAATTATCTCAGTAACATTATCTTAGTGTGCACAAAATATAATTGATGTGTGTAAATATCGATGTCACCACAGATATATATAAAAGCTACGACATTGGCTGATTTTTAATATTTTTTGGCATAAGTGAGTAGCAGTCTTACCTGTTGGTGGAATTATCCCAGGAGACATGAGACCAGGGACAGAATGCGGCATGATGTGAGAGTTCTCTGGGGAGGTGACACTTTGAGTCCTCTTAGGAGGCCTTCCAGGTCTAGAACTGAAACAAACAAACAAAAAATTTTTACAATTAAGCTATTGTCTTACACATCATTTCAAAGTTGTTTCAAGTGGTAACATGGACTGTAAATAAATTTGTTTCAAGGACGGTTGCTTTTGCAGTTAGATGTAATAGACTTCCATCACTAATTAGATTACATGCTGAATTCATTTTCCTCATTGAAGATCAGCCACTCCTGATGCATAATTCATAGCCTGCACCTCGTTACCTGCTTCTTCATATTAATATCTATACACAGTTTGAATTGCCTCGTTTGCATATGCTAAAGTTCTGCATGCAGCCTTCAGCACGAAAATTATGCACTAACTTGTAATAATTATTACAGTCAGCCTGCTATTGATTTATGAGAGTTTTAAAAACCAAATATGTGTAGTACTTGTAATGAATGATATTTTAAGGTTCTTCAGGAAATTAAAAGGCAATGGCTGCCTAAGGAAATGTTCTGCTTGTTTGATTTAATACTACAGTTAGCTGGGAGGTGGAATGAAAGAGTGATTCAGACCTATAGCACATTTTTCGATGATATGTTTTATTACTTCGCACTGCTAGCCTGATATCTAGATGATAAATGACAATACATATCTAATGTGTGAAAAGGTCTTGCAATTTCTTTATTTTTTGTCATTTAAAAGATAAGTCAAGTTATCATTTAACCCTTATTCTATTTAAGTGAACATCCCCCACTAAGTTCCCTTACTTTTAATATACTAAAATATACTTGAAAGGCTTAGGATTATTTGTAGGGTATCATTAAGGAACTGCCAGTGTAGCATCTCATATGTACCTTTAGGATAAATAAAAATACCTTGTGTTTTAGCAGTACTGTACTTTACATGCCTATTGCACAAGATTAATTATTACAGTTATAAGCAGAGGTAGAGACAGCTATTGGCAATCATTAATGGAAAACAACCTAAAGTATATAATATTACAATTTTTGAAAACAAAGTTTTAGCATTGTGTTTTCACTTTCTGCCTCTGTATCATAAATGTGCTTTATGAAATGCTCTCCCATCATTTATTTGGCCAAAACGTGCCTAGATATTTCAAAACTAACAGATATAACCTCATAAATAAGCATTTTCATGTTTTGCCTTGGCTGAGATCCCTAGACTTATCAGAAGATTCAAAGATGTTATCTATTTAATTTAGGTAGGTAATGTTTGTGGTCATTGAGCAAATAATTATTAAGTACCTGCTGTTTTCAAAGAGGTGCACTATGGAGGCTAATTTAGGAGAACGGGTTCTTAGACTTCAGAAGTTTGTATTCTTGCCAAAGGGGAAGAATCTGGTGCATAAACAACTATGATGCAAATTGTAAAGTGCTAAATCCCATAAGAAAGTTGCAATCTGAATACTAATTGGAAGTTAGGATGGATGATGATACTACCATGTCATAGGAAGGAAGAAGGCAGCGGGAACATTAGAAGACAATTCTGAAGAAGAATTAACCATGGAGAAGAAAAGAATAAAAGAAAATTACACTCCAGTGAGAATGTGAGAAATAAATGAAACCATGAAAAATGTATGGATATACAGGATTGTTTCAAATGAGCTGAAACAAGTCAAATAGGAAGAGGAGCAGTGATTGAGACTTTCAGAGTTATTGCCTAGGGCTAGATCCTGGAGGATGTTGGAAAACGAGCAAGACTGTTTGCTTGTCTTTGTGTTTTCTTAACCCATAGGGATATTGTCGTGCTTATTGTTCTTGAAGTATCCCTCAAGCTACTTCCTCTTATTATTACTTTCTCATGATTGCTGCTCATTCTCAGTTGGCTTTTTAACTCTTGTTTAGTTGTCTGTGGTCAATCAACAGCCCTCTGATAGTATCCATTTTCCTTGAGTGATCTCTTCTATTAGCATCACTTAGATGCTAAGGGCTAAGGGCTAAATATATATCTATAGCCCATATCTTTCTCCTGGGATTCAGACAGATGAATGCTTATGTGCTGGAAATCTCTGCTCGGATGTTCTATAATAATCTAAGACTCAGCTTGTCTAAATCTGAACTCAGCATCTATCCCATTAATACCTATTTTGCTTTCCCCTGGTTCAGCGAAATGGAATCCAACCGACTAAGCCAAAAATCCAGGAGTCACTTGTGTCTTTTCCTTCTTTTATATACTCAAATATTATCTTTCTGAGGTTACCTTTCTAATCTATTTTCTCTTCTATATCCCCACTCCTACCTTCCAGATCAATCCCTCATTTCTTGATACATGGTTACAGCTTTCCAAACTCTTCCAAGACACACATTCAATTTTGTCCCACTCCAGAGTCTAGAGTCCAGAGTCTAAACAACTCTCCATGCTAATTCCAGAAGGATTTTTATAAAATGCAAATTTGACCTTGCTTTCCATTTGCTTAAAGATATCAGTGGTTCCCTACTGGATTCACAATCCTTGAAATGGCATCAAAGCCATTTCAATATTTGGTCCCTGACGGCTTTTCCAATTTCAACACTTTATTCCTACATTCATAGCTTATATTTGGCCCTACTCAGTTTCTTAACAGTTTCCTGAGTGGCTCTGGTCTCCTATTACACTGTCTTTAAAGATGCTGCCTCCTTTGCCATCAAAGCCCTTTTCTATGCCAACCAATCCTCATTCCTGTTTTATCTGACTAAACCTGCCTAAACTTTAATCATCCTTCTTACCAACCACTTCTAGTTAGTATTTTTTCTGTGCTCTACGATAGAGCATGGGGAACCTATAATTCTTCCTGCACTGATTGCAATAATCGGATTATTTGCTTATCTCCCAAGGCTACTTGACAGAAATTGCACAAAATATATCTGTGTGTCCTTAAAATGTAGCTCAGTGTCTGGTTCACTCTATGTAGTAAAATAATAAAAATAATAATAATAACCCTATTCGTAAAGCCATTTCTCCCAAATCCTTCAAGTATACTACCTTATCAATTCCAGGGTCATAAAGTTTCCAAGAAATGAAAAGTAAGGCACAGAATGAGTTTGAAACTCTAACTTGAAACGTAATGCTAAATATACTTCTCAAGCCCAGAGAAAATAGAATAGAGGGTTTGGGAAATCTCAAGCAAGATGCTACAGAAAAAGTGGGAAAGAACAAGGAAGTTAAAAGATTTGAAATGTATAGCCCTTTAACTTGTTTTGATTTTAAAGAAAATCAAACTACTTAGGAGTACTTTATTATTCTGGCCACAGGAATTGTCCCCACAGCCCTCACTCTGGAAGTAGAAGTGAGGCTACTAAGTAGGAACACTTTAATTCACGCTGTGATTAGAATAGACCCGGTGGGCTCCTTTCACCACAGATATCTCCTGCCCAATCTATCACATTGCCTCAAATTCCACCAATAGAGATTTATTGCTTTCAGTCTTTAAGCTTTAAGTTCTTTTAAAACCTTTCATTAAAATGCAAATACTCTTGGTGGTGGTAACACCCTAAAGCCATCAGCTAACACCCTACTGGGGACTACTTTCAATTAGGTGAGATGCCTTTGCGAAGAATGAAAGGGACTGAAAGAAAATACTTGTAGGGACAAGTAAATCACTTATTCTTTTGCCTAAGAACAGGACAACAACTATGAACCTCTCGTTGGAGTTATTCCCAACTTCTTGGCTGAGGAGAAGTTGGAAAATTTATTTATTAACAAGACTTTTCTCTATCCCTTCACAACCTACAGTTAGGTTCCCTTATTGACAGGCTTGATATTTTATCCTTATGCAATCCTGGTCATTAACTCCTAGGGGATTTGAATACTTCAGGGAAGATAACTGTAAAATAATTGAATATTTAAATTTCTTTCAAAGGCATTTTAGGGAACCTCCAAGAGAACATGAGTAATACTCTGGCCAAAATCACAGATTTTATTGCCTGGATTGATCCAGCTGTGATACTGGCTCTACCAATTTACTAGAAGGTGTAGACTTGACCAAGCTACCTAACTTAGAAAACTTGATTAAATCAGGATTTCTTTAAGAAGTGTTTTGTATCTTTGTTAGAAATAAGTTATTCTTAAAAAGAAAATACTTAGAAAAACAAAAACTTAACTGAAAAGAGGAAGCGAAACAATGAAAAAAGCATTTTCTTCTGGAATGTTCAATTATCTCAATAGTAGCCACTATCAACCCATCATTTTCTATAAGAGCGACCCATTTCTATCCCAGAGGATTAGAGCAAGCTGAACTCTCCTAGCTCTAATCAAACGGAAGACCTCACTTAAATAATTACACTTAATAGCTTGAATAAAATCACAATTTATGATTTTGGTAATTGTTTTTGCCAGCTTCATGCATTAGCCTTAGTACAGGCTTTAGTATTTTCAAACATCTGCATTAAAAGAGGAAAGCAATAGCTTAGAGATGTCCACATCCACATTTAATATCCCAAACACTAGGGAACTCACCCAAGCACACTTTCTCCTGCAGTTCTAAATAAAAAGCTTTCCCACCCACTCCCATTCCCAACCCGCCACACACAGACAGATCGCCAGGGGGGTCTTCTTTCCTTAGTTTATAACACTAAATCAATCTCATGCTAATTTCAGTCTCTCTCCTACAACTGTATAATGTTTACTAACTTTTCCAGGTCCATTTATTGTTTTTATTTAAGGTGAAGTCAAAATTGAACTTAACAAAAGTGATAGTAATTAATAAGAAGCTTAGTGCAAAAGAGCAAGAGATGTTAGAGTACTTTATAGAATTTTCAATATCCAATCTTCTTTGTGGACATCATCTTTTGTTAATCTCTTCAGTAGTTTTTGAGAAATTAAGCTTAATTCTCTTTCTAAGAGTTGGGGCAGAGAAACAAATAAAATTCAGAAAAACAAAAACAAAAACTGTGGTGTCTACACATTGGAAAATGTGAAAGTAGCTGCCCAGCAGAAATTTTAAGTCCAAATCCTACCTGCCTGGAGAAAGGAAAGAAAAGTTCCATTCAACCATTCATTCATTCATTCATTTATTCAAGAGAAAAGAGCTACTGTATATAAGCACAGGGCTAGACATTAGGGTTTCAATAATAAAGACACAAGCCCTTCTATAAGAAGGACAATAAAATTAAATAATCTGTGGGGTAAGTGCAGCAGAAGGATACATGGCAGCAAATGAGCACTGAGATTAATCCTGGGACACAAACAAGCATTTACGAGTGAAAGCAACTTGCTCTGCTGATCTGCAAGAGTTCATTGGCCCTCTCCGATCTATTTACGCAAGGAAAGTTCCAACTCTGTGGTTATATTCTGCATATTTTTTTCTAGGAAACTGCTCCTACAAAACCAAGAGGTTTGTAAACTTTATATATGTATGTATGTTTATATTATACATTTTATATATATACACATATAAATAATTTATTTCTGATGGGAAAGTTACAATTTGCTTAATGATTTGCATAGCCACTTGAACATTATGGAATCATGAAGAGTCATGTTTATAAGTTTATGGTAACATACAGGAATGCTTACTTTCTAAGTAACATGAAAAAGTAAGATACAAACCTGCAGATATGGGCGTATCAGAGCACATGAGACAGAAATCAAGTAAAGGAAGCAATAAATACATAGAAAAAAAGACTGAAAGGAAATATGCTAAAATACTGAATGCTTATCTTTGAACTCTGAATGGAGAGTTACTTTTTTTTACATATGAAGATTTTCGTTTCTCTGTCATAAACATACATTATGTTTAAAACATAAAAACAAATTTTTGTTTTTTGACACAAGGTCTCACTCTGTTGCTCAGGTTGGAGTGCCGTGATGTGATCACAGCTCACTGCGTCCTCAACCTCCTTGGGCTCAGGTGATCCTCCCCGCTCAGCCTCCTGAGTAGCTGGGACTACAGGCACACACCACTATGCCTAGGTGATTTTTGTACTTTTTGTAAAGAGCGAGTTTCACCATATTGCCCAGGCTGGTCTCGAATTCCTGGGCTCAAGCTATCCACCCGCTTCAGCCTCCCAAAGCATTGGAATTACAGTGTGAGCCACCGCACCCCAACATAAAACAAACTTTTAAAACTAATTTGACTTCAACAACTTGGATCATATTTTTCAGAGACTTCATTGTGGACAAATCATGACCCTAGCTAAACTTTATTAGTGCCTGAAGTTTGCCTCTATCTCATATAATTAACCACATATAATTGTCCTTTTAATCTTTCCTTTCCATTTGAGTTCTAAAATATCTGCTAAAAAGCAGATGATTATAAACAAAAATATTATCCTTGTGAGAACTATAAACTATGAAAAGCACAAATAATCACTGACATCGTCTAGATTAAATAAACCTCAGGAAATAGACCCAACAGCACAAAAGGATATAAAGGACTTCCTAAGATTAATGTATGTATATCAATATTTCGCCAAAAGAAGCGGCTGATTTGGAATCCTCAGTTTATCAATGCATAGTTTTCCCTTAGAAAGATGTTGTTAACTTGTTAGTTGAACTTTTCCTTTTTTCAGTTTCCTGAGAGGCAACAATCCAAATCATCCAGAAGCTATATGATTAACATTATTTTCCCTTCTAATGCAAATTTTTTCCTATTGCTCGTAAAGCTTTGAGGGATACACTTTTTAAAATGGTGACTAATGTGAACATATTTTCATTCTCACGTTCCACATTTGTTTGGACTTTTAGTGTTCTCTGTGTAGTTGTGTGTCCCAGTCATGTGCACTTCTCAGTACAAACAGACTATGAACTAATGCATCAAACAGATTACTTTCCCACACTCACCAAAATACAGAGGTCCATGGGGCACCTGCTTACAAATATCACCAGTGGACACCTTGTGAACACTTTCAGCTTATTGGCTCACAAGCACAAAAGCACTCTCTCAACTATTAACATGGCAGGTAATTCAGTACACCAAATGAATAAATACATACACAAATATGCAAAATACAAATGTTCCCTGGGGAAAAAGTTAAAGTATATTTTAATTAAAAGATTCTGTGTTCAAATTAAACTACTAAGCATATGTATGTTTTGTGGAAGAACTTGACAGATTCCTGAAGTTTTTAATTTTGTTTACTGGGGCAAGTTATCAGAGTTTTCACTATATTAATATGCATTACAAATTTCCAAGAATGGGGTAACATAGGCATTTACTAAACTTAGTTCACCATGAAACCTGCCATTGCTAGTGAGTTTGTTTGTTTGTTGTTTGTTTAAAGACTTGTGCTCTAAACAAATGTGATATAATCAATGGTATGATTTACATTTGAATTATGAAAATTTCTCATCTCTCAACAGTACCAAACCATGTTCTATATGTCATAGGGCACATGAGAATTATTCCCCAAAAGTTAGGAAAACAGCAATTCACATATTCCACCGGATGCCAGAATGGGGGGCTTTACCCTTACATCACACCAATATGTCCTCATCATTTTGGTTACCATTATCTATTAATATTACTGCATACATATTTGACCAAATTCTGTAAAAGTTGAATACTGAGCAATGTAAGAAATAATTGGGTCAAAGGGAAAGGTTTACAAAGCAGGTGATCATCTAACTTGAAACATTTTACTCTCTACCAGAGGAAATGCAAGAGTTCACCATTATCAAAAAAATTAATATCAGTAAACTAAAAGCATCGTTAACAAAAAATAAACAGAAGTTAAAATTAGCTACTCTGGTGAGGATAAATTATTGTGGCCTCTGACCTCAAAAGTCACACTGTATACAACCAAAATAGTACAAGAAATTTATTTAATATAAAACCTGTTTAAAAAGCCAAAGACAAAATATCTGAAGTCTCCAGCTCAGTTGGAGCTACTACATACTGAATAAGGAATTACCCCCAAAGAAAGAATTAAAACACATTGGAATGTAACTAAGCCACTCTTAAGCATTTGTATATTAAGTGTTAAAAATTAATGACAGCCTAAAATACTAAAGAGAGTTCCTGTCGTAGGTAGTTGGGATAATCTCGCCCTCGCCCTCGCCCCTAAAGCTTCTAAGTCCTCTTCCCCTTTTTTAGAATATACATAAGGTCTAAGTTAAGAAGATATTTAAAATCCATTATGTATATTAGTTATACTAATCTTAGAATATATTAAGTATTATATTAAACTTAGTTTAAGATATGTTAACTTAATGAATATATTTTTGGAGCCTAACCTTATCAGATCAGGGAGATGGATATATTCTTGCCTCAACTGGAATTCTTTACATCCATGGTAAATGTCCCTTTATAAAGTGAATCAAGTCACTTACCACTTGATAAGTAAATGCATCAAACAGATTACTTTCCCACACTCACAAAAATACAGAGGAATATTTTGTGAGACTGAAATGCTTTTCAATGCAACTTAAAGTTTTAAAGAGATATACAATTTAATACTATTTATGTTTACCTTTCTATAGCATACATTATGCATCTACATATATGATTTCTCCCAGAGTTAATACCATTTGCAAATTTCATTTAGTGGCATGTTTGTCTAGAAAGCTAAATATTTTTAACCTTTTAATCACCTTACAGTTTTCCTTTCTTCCCGTAAGTCTTCCAGGCCACATATGATTCTACCCACAACACCTCTCTTTTACAATTATGTGCAAAAGCTTACTAGAATCCCCTAAAGAACAAATTCTGAAATAATTAGAAACAATTGTAAGTGGCCTTCTTAAAGTTTGGGAAAACGTTAATACTATATTGGATTCTTTCTCAAAGCTCCTGTCATACCTCACAACAATATTCTAGAAAATTTAAATTTAATATTAAAACCTATTCCAAGCCCAGGTGCGGTGGCTCACGCCTATAATCTCAGCACTTTGGGAAGCCAAGGCAGGAGGATTGCTTGAGCCCAGGAGTTCAAGACCAGCCTGGACAAGATGGCGAGATCCCATCTCTACAAACAATTTAAAAATTAGCTGGGCATGGTGGTGCATGCCTGTAGTCCCAGCTACTCAAGAGGCTGAGGCAAGAGGATCCCTTGAGCCCAGGAATTTGAGGTGGCACAGAGCTGTGATCAAACCACTGCACTCGAGCCTGGATGACTAAGTGAGACCCCAAGTAGTATCTAAACCAATTTTTTACACCAACTATGAACTCCATAATCACAAATAAAAATGTTTTCCTTTTGTAATTTTTCAATTTACATTTCAAATGACAAGATATTCACAGCAATTACTATTGGCTATATTTTGTTTGAGCCAAAAGCAATGCATTTGGTCTTTCATTTCAATGGCATATGCGAAGAACCTGTTTATAAACTTGCAGTGGAAATGGTCGACCATCATTCTGTTTCTTCAGGTTATTGTTAATTTGGTCCCAATATGAACCCATTGCTCCTATCTCAAAATAATATCCAACTTTCCTTTGTAGGAGATGCCATTTCCAACACTTTAAAGGCTGCTTTTCCAAATGTTTTTGTTTTATTTTTGAATAGTAGATAAAATAACGAAATAATTGCAATTATATTATCTACTGCCAGGGATTGTGCTAAATTCACTATGTGATCTAACTCTTTTAATACTTTGACAAACTTTTGAGATAAGTACTATTACAATCCTTATTTTTTTGGTGAGACATTGAGACACCAGAAAGTAAAAGTAAAATGACTTACCTAATATCACACATATTAAAAGTAATAGAGTCAGGTTGTGAACCATGGCAATCTGGCTTCAGATGCCAAGCCCTGAGCCCAGAAAGTAAAAGTAAAATGACTTACCTAATATCACACATATTAAAAGTAATAGAGTCAGGTTGTGAACCATGGCAATCTGGCTTCAGATGCCAAGCCCTGAGCACAGTGTAATACTACCACTGTAGCAGATTTGCATGTTAATGTAGTCAACAAACATTAATTGAACATGTCCATGTGCCTGACCTTTTAATATGTGGTGGAAATAACAACAAAATACTATACCTTCCCTCAAGTAGCTCATGGTCTATTTTGGGAAATACATCGATACATAGAGAATTACACTAAACCGTGTTAAATACTGTAGTAAATGTTGCAGAGCATGGTTGTTGGGACAAAGTCATGGGGGTGCTTCAGGGAAGATGAGGTATGAGCAAGCAGGAGTTTGTCAACTGAAGGAGAGGAGGGGGTGCTAAGTAACGAAACAGCCATAGAGGCATAGCCCCCCATTACACACACACACACACACACACACACACACACACACAGACACACACATACACTTCTGTAATGAAGGCTGAAGTACTCAAATTTGAGTACTTATAACATCTAATATTAGTATTAAAAGGTCATTTATTAAAGAAAACACTTCATAAAGTATTAAATAAAATTCAATAAATGTAAATCATATTAACAGCAATGTTTGGTGCTTAATTGGGTCAAAGGGAAAGGTTTACAAAGCAGGTAGTTATCTAACTTGAAATAGTTTTCATTTCCCCATCCTTAGCATGGTTAGTCTCACACAGTCCAGCACATAATTATTCTCTAATAGTTTTATACGTCAAATCTTCTCTGTCTGTACTGTCTGCATATTTCTGACTTTGAGAAATGTGTTAGATATATGATGGTAGGCACTGATTATTAGTCAAACATCTTTAGGATATCATGATTTGTTTGCCTGTGTTATTTCTTTCTTTCTTTCCTTTCTTTTTCTTTCTTTTCTTTCCTTTTTTTTTTTTTTTTTTTTTTTTTTTTTTTTTGACGGAGTCTTGCTCTGTCACCACCCAGGCTGGAGTGCAGTGGTGCAATCTTGGCTCACCGCAACCTCTGCCTCCCAGGTTCAAGCGATTCTTCTGCCTCAGCCTCCGAAGTAGTTGGGACTACAGGCGTGCACCACCATGCCCGGCTAATTTTTGTATTTTTAGTAGAGACGGGGTTTCACCATATTGGCCAGGCTGGTCTCGAACTCCTGACCTCTTGATCCGCCCATCTCAGCCTCCCAAAGTGCTGGGATTACAGGCGTGAGCCACCACACCCAGCCCGTTCACCTATTTTAAATGTATTTTCTTGTGATGCCTTATTTAAGAAGAATTTAAATAGAACACAATTTGGTGTTATATTATCAACTACATAGACAAAATCTGAATCTAATCAAAAATGAATCCATCTCCCCTTCAATACTTTACTGTAATAGGGATTTGTATTCATAAGATGGAAATTCATTACTCAACTGGGTTTTATCTCATTTTTCTGTAATCACTTATTATCTTAATCTTAATCAAAATTATTGTCATATTTTTGATATAAGAAGGACACATTTTGTAAAGAAATTATAGCAAACCAGCAATAAGAAGGAAAAAACTACAGCGAGTGTGCATAAATCTTTATAAAATAAAGCAGCCATAACCATAAATTACTGGTAAAGTAACTTTAAAAGTTAGTAAAGTAAGTCCACATACACACACACATACATTCAACAATCTGGTATGATAATACCCTCTTATCCATTTGTTTTGCTTTTTTTTTTTTTTTTTTTTTTTGAGACAAGAGTCTCGCTCTGTCGCCCAGGCTGGAGTGCAGTGGTGTGATCTCGGCTCACTGCAAGCTCCGCCTCCTGGGTTCACGCCATTCTCCTGCCTCAGCCTCCCGAGTAGCTGGGACTATAGGTGCTCACCACCACGCCCGGCAAATTTTTTTTTTTTTTTTTTTTTTGTATTTTTAGTAGAGACGGGGTTTCACTGTGTTAGCCAGGATGGTCTCGATCTCCTGACCTGGTGATCCGCCCGCCTCGGCCTCCCAAAGTGCTGGGATTACAGGCGTGAGCCACCGCGCCCGGCCTGGTTTTGCTTTTCGAGTTCAGTTACCAGTGGTCAACTGCTGTCTGAAAATAAGTATGGTACAAGAAGAAACTCTGAATGAGAGAAAGAGAGGCCACATTCATATAACTTTTGTTACAGTGTATGGTTATACTTGTTCTATTTTATTCTTGTTGTTCATCTCTTACTATGTCTACTTTATAAGTTAAACTTTATCCTAGGTAGGCATGGGTGTATAGAAAAAATACAGCATATATAAGGTTAGGTACTATCACACTTGCAAGCAACCATGGGGGGTCTTGGAACATATCCCCCATGGGTAAAGGGGATTACTGTATAAGCATCTTCACATATAAATCACAAAAGTAGAAAAATAGTTTTGTTTGTATTAAATGATTGCTCCTTAGAGATGTAGTCTCAAATGAGGGTAAAAAAACCTATTAAATCAGAACTCAGACAATCTTGTCTTCCCACTTATGAATGCAGAGGCAAGATGGCTGACGCAACCTAAAATGCATGTTTTCACCCTTCACTGACAAGTTATTTGTATGCCACCTCTGGAGAAAATGTACATAACTAATTTGTTTGAGAAACCTGTAAACACACACACACACACACAAGCACACACACATCCGCCATTCCCCTCCACTGTGTAATGCATGAGGAGCTGTCAAGAAACGTAATCCTGAAGCACAAATTCAGACACCAACTCCAGAATTCAGAGACCTCCTGACAACTTTTTGATGCCCCCGTGAGGATTCCAGGCCTATGAACTAATGAAAAGGTGATGTTAAGATAGACAAAGGCTGTTTCCAGCCTGCAGAGATTTAATAACCTGCTTAATTCATTACCTGACATAGATGATACCTACCTATGCACCAAACATTGCTGTTAATATGATTTACATTCATTGAATTTTATTTAATTCTTGATGAAGCATTTTCTTTAATAAATGACCTTTTAATACTAATGTTCAATGTTATAAGAAATTAAGATATAAACTACCGGAACCACAGAGTTGGAGAAGTCATTGGCACCTGTCCTTTCAAGCTTGAATAGACACTGTTTTACCATGGAATTTTTTTCTCCTGGAATACTAGGCTGAGGCTGCTTTTAAAATCCTGATCATTATCCTAATTCCCATGTTCCCTTATTTATTTATAGCTGAATCATATTTTAAAATACTAAAAACATAGTGCCTTAAAAGCGTTGTTTAAACTGGCTAAAGCATAATAGCTCACATTTAGAAATTACATAATGTATGAACTAGAATTCTTTTGAGCACTTTATGTATATTATTTCACTTAATTCAAGAAACTTCTGGGATGGAAATACTATTTCCATTTTATAAGTGTGGAAACTGAGGCAAAGATACATTGAAGCATAGAATTATGGAGAATAAAAGTATAAGTTTTCTTATTATTTCAAATTGAAAAAAAATAGTTTCTTGATTAAACCTGTAACTAACATTACATTAGAGAGAAGTCTAGAAAAGACAACAGCTATGACATTTTGATTTCTTAAAACAGAAGACAGAATTCCATATTTCAGTCAATTTTTAATTTCATTGCTTGTTAGAGGATTTTCTAATATTTAAAACACGGCTTCAGTCTTGGTCAAACTTCCCTTACAGTCCAGGACCTTAGATCTGATGACTCACTTCAAATGCGTCCTCTCTTTCCAACATTATTAGTGCACAGACATGTGCTAGGTGACCCTGGCATGCAAAGGCCGATTCTAGATACCATGGCAGAAACAAGGCAGCAAAATATAACCCTCTCTCCAAAAGTCGTCTTCTTATTGTTAGAATACATAGCTATGACACTAAGCTTTAAGTGACTTTAGAAAGAGAAAGGAAAAAGAGAAGAAACTCTCAGAAAACCTAAAGACAAAAAAAGCATTTAAGATGAGTCTTCAAGCGTGAGTATTATTTTAACTAACAGAGAGAAAGTGAGAAGAATGCATTGAAGATTTTCAAATGACATGGTCAAGGGCTCCAAGGCAGAAAAATGTGGAGTTCACCAGAAATGATGAGTGTGTCCAGGCCTCAACAAATGCTCCATCTGCAAAGAATCAGTGAGGCCATTTCGGTAAATTCACTATGTTTCTTATGCTACTCCCAGCTATATTGCAAGTCCTTTGAGATAATCACCAAGGCTTGTTTCTTCTAAAGCCCTCCTCCACTGTCCATTACAGAGGGCAGCAAATTGTGTTTGTTCAGTAGCCTTGGCTAACTCAACCAACAGGGTTGAGTTTGGCAACTGCAGATCATACTGTAAAAGGCAAAGCAAATATTGAGTGTTTAAAATAGGGCCTTCACAGATGGGCCATGTGTGATCTACTATGACACTCATACTTAGGAAGTGATAGTATGTGAAGTACAGTGCTCATAATTTAATAGGTTTTTATGAGGTTAGCATGAAAATTAATTTAGCTGTAATTATCAAGATAGGGATGAAAAACAATGAGATCTAGGGAGGGGCGTAAGGGCTAAGGGATGCCAATCTGGGCTATACTCATTGCCTGGGTGACGGGGTCATCTTCACCCCAAACCTCAGCATCACCCAGTGTTCCTATGTGACACACCTGCACATGTACCCCCAAATCTAAAATGGATGTTGAAATTATTTTAAGAAATCATGAGATCTAATAATAACTGAATTTACAGTGTAATTAACATTATGCTGAACACTTTGATGCACATTATATAATTTAATCTCCACAATAACTCTATGATATAACTATCATCATTATGCCCATTTTAGAGATGAATGGAATGGTTCCTTATGAGAGAATAAGTAACTTGAATAAATCACAGACTGCTAAAGAAGTAGGACCAGGCCTGTCTGTGCAAAAGTCCATGCTAAATTGCCATGCTAATCATAAAAATGTTTCAGCCTTAAGTAACTTACATCAGAAGCAAATAGCCATATCTAGATAATTTTTCAAATTCACTTTTTTTTTTTTTTGAGACAGAATTTCACTCTTGTTGCCTAGGCTGGAGTGCAATGGCACAATCTTGGCTCACTACAACCTCTGCCTCACAGGTTCAAGTGATTCTCCTGCCTCAGCCTCCCGAATAGCAGGGATTACAGGCATGCACCACCACACCCGACTAATTTTGTGTTTTTAATAGAGACAGGGATTCACTATGTTGGTCAGGCTGATCTCGAACTCCTAACCACAGGTGATCCGCCCACCTCAGCCTCTCAAATGCTGGGATTACAGGCATGAGCCACCGTGCCCGGCCTGAAATTCACTTTTAAGACTGCACTGCTATTCCACGACTCTGAATATATTTACTATTTAAAAATATACGTATTATCTCTAAAAAGAATTGAATGTTCCTGTCTCCACTTGCTGTTGCTGCTGCTTAGAATGCTCTTCAGTCAAACATCCCCATGTCTCACCTTCCCCAACCACTACGCAAAGTGCACTGGGTCCACTTAATAGTTCCCTTCTCCCACCTCACTGTGTTTTTATCTTCAGTGTTGTTCAGAAATACCACATAGCTACTTGTTTATTGGTGACTATCTGTCTTGCATATTTCATGAGGGCAGAGATTTTGAATGTTTTGTTCACTGGAATATCCCCATTTTAGAGGAGCAATGTTTGGCACAAAGTAGGGACTCGATAAATATTTATTAAATGAAAAAAAATGAATGACTGGGTGAAGGAAGGAATGGATACACATTGCTGATCTATGGCCATCTGAATCAACATTGTCTTAGCAGTTATTTAAAGACCTGAAAGGATGGTACTCCGACTTGTCAGAGTGTTGTGTATGGCGCCAACTTGATAATGATGATAAAGTGGAAGGCTTTTGAGTTAGTGCCTTCTTTGCATTACCCTGTCTCCCACTGAATATTCTGGATTTATCTTAGCTCTTCAAAATGATGTGGTTGGAAACAGAATCATCCATAAATTTTTCAACTTATAGCAATCTATAGAGCTTGAAATTATCAACCAAAGTAGTCTATGCCCAAATATGTAAATTTTTAAACATGGCTTACAAATCTAGACACATGTACTTAAATTTTAATTTATACTTTTACAATGAAGTGTCAATTTTTAATTATATTATTTAGTCCAGGGTTCTAGATTATCAAAAATAAACCACCTTTAAACTATAATAGCACATTTTGTACTCAGAGATTCTTTCTTATATATTCATGGTAATATATGAAAGTCCTAAAATAATGCATTTAATACCATTGGAAGGCTATATTAATTTTAAAAATGGTGTTAAAATTTGCTGGCTATTTGAAAAGTTGAAATAGAGCCCGATTTTATGCATTTTAAAAGGAGATTACAGATTACAAATGAGTAAAAAGTCTATATTTGGAATAATACTTTATAAGAATGACATTAATGCCAGAAAGTACTGAGTAAATGATTGATAGAATTATACACATACAAATTAAAAACATTTTTAAGACAATTAATTCTGAAATAAAGCGACAAAGAAGAAAAATGTGTATGTAAAAGACGGATAATTATTGCAGGAAATTGCTAAAACCCGGGAGGTGCAAGTTACAGTGAGCCGCGCCACTGCACTCCAGCCTGGGTGACAGAGCGAGACTCCGTCTTAAAAATAGATAAATAAATAAGTAAATAATAAAACAAATGAAAAATCCAATAATAAATGGCAAATGCATATGAATAGAAAAATAATACACATATGTAATTAGTTAATAAACATTAAAAGATTTACAATTTCACTAGCACATAAGGAATTAAAAATCAAATCAAATATAAAATATCATACTTTGGCCATCACTCTGGCAAAGCTAAAACATACTGATACGACACTGGTAGAATATAATATTTCTCAAAGAACGTTTAGTCCTCTGTATTGAAATTTAAAATATGAATGCTACTTAAACCAACACTTTTATATTGATAAATCTAAAAATTCATTCTGAAGAAATAATGAGAGAGAGAGAGAGAATATGCAAAAATAAAACCCTAAAGGCTCATATAATTGTGTTAGGTTGAATAAATTACGGTGTATACTAGACTGAAATTATAGTAAGTCATTAAAATATATATTATAGAAATCTAGATTTTAAAAATACAAAAACCTGTCCATTGTAGATTTTTATGTGTTACAACAGGTTAGACAACAGTATGATCATATTTTGTATAGGCTATCAGTATTTTCCTCTTGTGGATGCAATATGTTATTAAATCTTTACTTTCTTACTAGTTTTTAAAATTCTTTAAATATCTGGCAGTGAACAAGATTTTGTGTTCTATTTATTTATTTTTAAATCAGAGAAACACGGAAGGTACTAGGGGATCCAGGGGTAGATTTAGTGCCATTAAAAAACAATTATTTTTCACACACCAGGGAAAACTAAAACATTTAATACTCTGAAAATGTTGGATAGAAGTAAACTGTGTATGTACAGAAGACCTTTATTTTAGAAGTGCATGTAAAAAGAAAAAATAAATAATTAGAAATCCATTCTAAACTGACTGAACATAAGGATTGTAACGGTAGATTTTATTCACAATTATATATAACTTGGCTATTTGTCTTTCACAAACTAAAATACTTTAGGGCAAATTCAGCTTTCAAAAGTCCTGTATACCAAGGGGAGCTACAATTGCAAGGAAGTATTTTTACCAGAAAATACTATGTCAAAAACTTCTTAAAGGAAAAAAGATAAAAATGAATATAGACACGAGGATTGCTAACTACATTTTAAAATCTCTCCTCTTTACTTACACTTCCAAGCAGTCAATTTTAAAATTGTATTTCATTTTTTGGTAACATTTAGCCTGACTTTTTCAAAAACTAGCTTTTCCTTCTTTAGGCTTCAACAATGAATTTTATTCAATCTCAAGGCTTCCCTGGTTGAATGACAAAGAGTAGTATATCTTCCCAGAAGGCATGGCCTCTTTGGAGTAAAAGCACTATACTCTTTTATTGGGTTCACCGATAGGATTTACTCTACCTTGAATGGGTGGTGTGTGGTGAGTAGTTTATGAACAAAACCTTCCTGGTATATAAACTGTCAATGTGAACACGATGAAAAAAGAATGGAGAATCTTGCTGGACAAGATGTTATTGCATCAATCCAAATAATTTCTCTTGTTTTCAGTCTTCACACAAAACTTTTCATAAGCTTTGAAGAAATATTTGAAGGGATGCCTTGAGTGTGCATATTGGTCTTATTTATAGGAACGCATAACTAACAAAGAAATATCAAAACTTGTATCAGCTTTTCCAACTATATTTTATAGCCAACTATATGAAATTGCTATAGTCTCACTTTATGTCAAAATGGATATTTTTACTTTCATTAAAAAAATGTTAAAAGCAATGCTCCTGTTCTTATTTAACTACATTTCTGAGTCTGAATTGCTTAAAACAGTTAATTACACGTTTTAATTTTACCAATTATTTTTTGTTGTTTTCTAGTCACTATTTGCTTGACCACTTAGGATAATTCATTCTGAAAGTCTGTGAAAAGTGTGTGTGCGTGCATGCATGTGCACACACACACACACACACGAGACACACAGTGTTTGGACACACGTTGGCATCCTCCATATATGCTGAAGTCAATGGAGCTAGCAAATGCATTGAGAACAGGAAATAAGAAAAGGCAAAGAAAAAAATTGATCTTAGTAAAAACAGGAAGCCACCCCTGCTGTTAAGAGAGCAAGCTGGCCAGGCATGGTGGCTCACGCCTATAATCCCAGCACTTTGGGAGTCCGAGTTGGGCGGATCACGAGGTCAGGAGTTCGAGACCAGCCTGACTAACACGGTGAAACCCCGTCTCCACTAAAAACACAAAAATTAGCCGGGGGTGGTGACGCACGGCTGTATTCTCAGCTACTCAAGAGGCTGAGGCAGGAGAATCACATGAACCCGGGAGGCAGAAGTTGCAGTAAGCAGAGATCGCACCACTGCACTCCATCCTGGGTGACACACAGCAAGACTGCAAGACTCCATCTCAAAAAAAAAAAAAAAAAAAAGAGAGAGAGAGAGAGAGAGAGCAAGCTTAGTTAGAAATAAGCAGTCCTAATGAACATAGTTACATTTAAGGACTTGCCATAGGTTAAGTTAAGTCACTGTGACTACCTGGACAGCCCTGAATGCACAGATATAGTAATACTGTAATATGGCAAGAAAGAAGATGTTCTTACCTCCCATGGAGTTAGGGTATACAATAAAATCTTTATATTTGAAAACAAAATTAATGCAAGTTGATGTTTCCAAACTTTCCACATCCCTGATTCTATCTGAGCTTTTAATTAGTTAAGAGAAGTTCAAAGTAAATTAGCCTTTAATAAGTTAAATGCAAAATCCATGGATTTCTAAATTTTAACTTTAGTGAAGTATTTTCTAGGAACCTTTCCCCAATTATAGAATAAAAAACACAAAACCAGCACTTGACTTTTTTAAAATTTAAAATCTGACTTGCTAATAAAATTTTATCAATCCTCCCTGATCTTAAAGCATAAGTAGATGTTTATAATTTGCATGCATACATCAGAAATAAGGCAGATGCAAAAGGTTATTAACTGATATGCAAGCAAGGATAGCATTTACTTAACAAAAACACAGATTCATTTAAATCTTTTTTTAATAAATGTTCATATATATGTACTAAGCTATTTGAAGTCAATAAACATAAATGGTTATTAAATTACTACATAATCGAGACATTTTCTTAGGTAAGTGTATATTTAAATCTGAGATTTCATAATGCAATATAATATGTGACAATCAGAGTTATAATTAATACATATAACTTTAGATGCAATTGTTTTCCAAAAATTGTAGTACTTTAGTAACCGTGTTTTTTCCTATAATGAATGATGCATATATCTCTGTATCTTCTTACAAAATATTTTCTATTTGATGATTCCTTGTTCAGATATATAAGTGAAAATCATCTAAACATCAAAGATGCAATCCAGAAAAATCAAATAAAAAAGGAAATGGGAGATAGTGACAGAACAAAAGGGGGATTGATAGGAGGTAGTTAAGGAAGTAACTAGGGTTTGGAGATGAAATCTAAAATGCACACTAAAATGATGGACTAAAACTAAACTACAGATAGAGTTTCTGGAGGTAGAAAGATGAAAATAAAAATCAGAAAGTATCCTGTGTGAGATGATAAAATATGGGTAAGTAAACAGAAAAGTAAATTAATTCAGAGTAATAAAAAAATTCAGATTTCATGATGAGGTGTGAAGGTTTGTTCAATTCCGTACTGTTTTACAGTGTTTGATTATATAGTTGCTTTTCAACAGGGGAGCCTAAACTTCTAGTCCAGTGCTTTCTTGCGACACTAAAACAAAGTTTTCCATTTGAAAATTAAGTGTCATGATACCAACTCCACATGCCTGCGTGTGCATGGGAAAGCTTCAGTTTCTGTTATCTGTCTTCTCTTTTTCCTCTTCTTCTTATCCAAAAAAATAAATAAATAAAGTATTTAACACATATATAAAATGATGCAAAATCCATGTTTTTCCATTTTATTCTAACTTTTAGTTTTAAAAGTTACGCAAGTCACAAGAAATGTATACACCAAGCTCAAATTATTCACATCTAAAGACTTGAAATATATGAAGTTCTCAACTTTAAAATGATCCTAAATTGCATATCATTTTTATATAAACTTCCCCTTTAACTTACTAAATTAAAATGAAAATCATACAGCATATTTAAATCTAGATTTCTTATGAAACAATTTCCAAAGTTTGCCACCAGTGAATTATTTCCTTGATTAGCTTGAAGTACTTTGGAACAGGGAAGAAAGAAAATAATTCTGGGCTTGTATAAACATCTACCTTCAGTGAGCTTAACAAGCAAACATTAACAAATGCTTTGCATCCTATATACTTACAACAGTCCTATAAAACAATAAACTTCTGAAAGTAATTACTTTAAATTTATTTTTCCTCTACATTGAAGCAGAAAATATTGTCACGCAAAAGGTAGCATTGAACTTGTATAATAATAGAGATTTATTGAGACAGGGAACAATGCTGATTAAAAAAAGAAAAGCATTGAAATATACCCTAACATCTTTCCTGAAACACATGATAATAATTATCTTAGGAAAAGGTGGTACTGACAACAGCATAAATGATGCTGCCAAATCGAGAGTTAATTTTATTTTAAAGGATTAAACCATAAATTACTTCTTTAAAATTAGTGAGAAAAAAATAGATCTCTTCTAAAGTCAATTTAATCAATTCACAAGAATTTTGCACAAGAGAAAAAATTATTAGACCATAACATTCCAAGAGGTTATATGAGGATCATATTAAAGAGACTTGCCACTCTTATTCAGGAGCTAATTAGGAATATATATGACTGGATTTTCAAATATCTGTTTAACAACTTATAGTCTAACATATTTATTGCCATCTCAACCTAGATTGTAAAGCAGTAGTTGGTTAGGATTTAATCATTTTTAAACTGTTCTCTTTTTAAAAATTTACTTCTAAACAAGGACTAATTTTCTTAATTGTGTGTCATATAGTATCTTAGCAGAGTCAAAAGATAATGGGCATTTAATAAATTCATGTTGACTAATAAGTGCCATGTATTATTCACAATTAGCTATTCCCTTCCTGACCTTGCCCTGCTTTCACATAGGCAGAATGAGAATAACACTTTCTTCATTATAGAAGGTTTTCCTCCTTTTTTAATTTGAGCTTGGCTATGAGACTTGCTGTGGCCAATGACATGTGAGCAGATGTGACATATACCGTCACTGGGAAGAAGTCTGACATGGACCAACATAGATCTGTCCCTTCCTGAGCCTCTGTTGTCTTCTATGAGAGCGCATGGGTCAGCAGACCATAGCAGAGCTCAGCAGAGTGGTCCCTGATCAGCAGTCCTCAAATATAAAGAAATGGTTGTTGTCATAAGCCAGTGAGATGTTGGTATTGTTTGTTGCTGCAGGTAAAGCTGACTGCACAAGATGCGTCATAAATAACATAATTATTTTTTGTGATACTTAAAATGAAGAGCATATGTATGCTAGAGCTCAACTGCAGATAGAATGCATCAGAAGTAAACAACCTTTATGTGAAAAGAAACTCAAAGCTTTCAACACCTATGAGTAGGGTAAGGAAACTGCATAGGACTAAGAGTAGACCCCTAATCACAGCAAATCTGCTCCTTCAAGTTAATTCTGCATTCACCCTTAGGGGAGGAAAAGAGGAGAGAAAGTTGGATTTTAAATGATGGTACCAGCTATGTGAAGTCTACATGTTAAGACAGATATATTGATAAACACTGACTTACTAAATATTGTACCTGATTATTAACAAATAATCCAAGACCGTCTGTCCAAGTATGGAGGGGAAGATGAATACAGGCCTAAAATGAAGTTATTACAATGTGAAAAAATTTTACTGAGTTCAAAATAGAGTGATAAAAATTCACTTTCAAACTACTTAATGATGACATTTCATCTCTTCAAATAAGGAAGTGTAGAGACAAACCGATTTTAATTAAAAAATACAATATATTTAAGTATGCTTCTTTGCTTCAAAAATCAATGCAGTCCTTTTTTCTGGACCCGCCATCTTCCAGTAATTCATCAAAATGAGAAAAACAAAGGGAAAGAAGAGAGGCACCTGATATATGTTCTCTAGGCCTTTGAGACAACATAGAGTTGATCCTTTGGCCACGAATATGCAAATCTGTAAGGTGATATTGTAGACATCAAGAGAATGCGTACTGTTCAAAAAGGAATGCTCCACAGGTGTTACCATGGCAAAACTGGAAGAGTCTACCATGTTCCCCAGCATGCTGTTGACATTGTTTTAAACAAGTTAAGGGCAAGCTTCTTGCAAAGAGAATTAATGTGCGTACTGAGTATATGAAGAACTCTAAGAGCTGAGATAGCTTCCTGAAATGTGTGAAGGAAAGTGATCAGTAACAGAAGGAAGCCAAAGAGAAACATACCTGGGTGCAACTGAAGCACCAGCCTGCTCCACCCAGAGAAGCACACTTTATGAGAACCCATGGCAGGGAGCCTGAGCTGCTGGAACCTCTTCCCTGTGGATTCATGGCTTAAAAGGTATTTAAAAAATAAAAATAAAAGATCTCTGGACTGTGAAAATGTTTCTCTTTATTGAGTAGAAGTATGGCGTCCCCTCCCCCCAAGAAATATTTAAAGCAAATTTTAATTGTGTCCTAATTTATTGTGTAACGTCTTTATTATTTGAACTTAATGTTATTTTTTACTGAAAGACATGAGGTGGCTTATTGTGCAACAAATTGCTCAATTGGCTAGAAATCGGCCAGATACTATTTATGAAATATTTGTACTGGTTTGAAGGTAGTTCCTCTAAAATCATTTTGGAAGAAATAAAATAATTAAAAAAATAAAATACAAAAATAAAATAAATTCGGTAATTTCTCTGATACATTTTGATTAAAAGACTATTCATTTACATTCACATTTTTATGGTAGTGATGTTGAAACTAGCACTAAGCTATATTTCCTAGCACATATATAAAGAGTGATCCATTGTGTTTGGAGATAATGCTGTTCAAGATATAAGGTGTAGGACAGGACCAAAAATTATCAAACAGCTAAGTACAGAGTGAATATTGTCAAGGTAGACTGTCATAAATCTTGGACTTCGTTTTCCTCTAGTAATAATATTTTGTGTTAAGATTTTTATCTTTATTTATTCAATGACTCTGGGTTGGGAAAAAGAATAAAGTCCACAACCAGAAACTAGAAAATGCTCTAAAGCGCTATTTAGGGACCGAAATGTTGTTGGCTACAACTCTCTCAGCACATTGGGCTTCACTTGAAGAAACTAACAAACCTGTCTGCAAATGAGCACTTGCTTATAAGTAGATAAGGACTGCTGAAGTGTATGGAAGACAGTGGTTTAACATCATTTAGAACTCATCATTAAAAAATCATTAAACATCATTAAAAATGAATTTATTCAAAAAATGTTTTATGGATTTGAATTCTTCATTGAATTCACATAGCTCAAGCCTATCAATGAATGTATAGGCAGATAGGCAATTTGTTAGCTACCAAAGAAACTCCTCCAATCCTTCCATAGCAAAAACTTGGGAAAAGTTATTTTCTGATGTTAAAGAGCCAAAAGACTTTGGAATTACCACTTAGATCTCTATATGAAAAGTCTTTCTTTTTTTTTTTAGAATCAAGTAAATCAAGTCTTATCTCTTCTGAGCATGTCATGAAGTCTCCATTAAAACAATTAGTAATTATCATATGGTTCATACAAATTCTGTAAGTGTGCTTCTCTATTCATATCTCCTTTTCCCTTTTCTCCATAGCACACTTGTTCAACAACTAACCTTCAATTTATATCCTTTTTCTTCTGTACCCTTGTACAATAGCATATATTTATTTTTCTTTTTAGAAACTATCAGATATTTTTTCTTATCAATCAAGAAATCTAGTGATCAAAACCTTGTCATCATAAATATTCTCTACCTTTACCACCAGCTTCAAGTCATGTAAAAATTCAGTCAGAATAGGATATTTTCTAATGCGAATGTTACAGAACTCACAATAGAACCCTATATCATCTTAGAGTTTTTAAGTGGCATTTTATTATGTACAACTTCCTTGATTTTCTATAAAGAATCAGGACAACAAAAGGGATAAAAACATATTATTAATTATATTATTAATCTTTATATTAATTAAAACATATTATTAGCCTTTCATCCATTTAAGAACTTAGTATTAATTGAAATCTATTGGGTAGCATATTTATATTTTTTACAGTGAGATGTATTTTTAATAACAGCCTGCTTAATTGAAATCCCAACAAAGATAGCATATTTGCAAATATTCAGATTTGAAATAATCAAAACAATAAGACATAATTTCCCAGTTTGTTTGCTATTTATTTTTAATTATCTGAAATTTAGCAAAAACATGTGATGTGATTACTTGGACATATTCCATTCTTTTCAAGCACTGGCTTGATACAAAAATAAAATTGATTTCTTCACGAATATGAACTATCATGTTTTCTTGATAATTTCACTCACCTAAATTCTTTCAGAATAATTCTCTTGGCTTGTGGTAATTTTTTTCACTACACAATTTTATTCTATATCTATTTTTTTCAGACCAAAATATGCATTCTTATTTGAAGTATTATATAAAGTTGAAAAATGTTAAAATGCATTAATTCTCATATTAAAGTCAAGTTAATACTGTATGTCCTAGAATTATTCTTTCAACTCTATTTCCAACTGAATTCTCACATTTATAATGAATCTGCCTCGGTACAGTAAGAGTTTACTGTCGCTATTTAAACTGTTTTAAAGACCGTATTGATAAACTATGATTTTCATTTTAATATATCTAAAAACTTTATTTCACAAATTATTTGATATTAAAGTCTTAGATAAACACACATTTGAATGTTTTTATTTCCCATAGTCATCTTCACATTTAATTTAATACATTTAGTGAGTATCTCTTCCTGTGAGGAAATTGACTAGGTCAAAGGACTTGAAAGAACATTAAGACAGGTCTGTCCCCTCATGGAACTTGCAAGCTCTTGGGGTGACAGGCACATACATACACATGCAGTAAGCATGCTGTGTAAATGCAACATAATAAAGATGTGAACTACATGCTATGGGAGCATTTCTTGAGGAAGTCTCAGCAGGGCA
The DNA here is from genome assembly GCF_000001405.40 of Homo sapiens. Classification (NCBI taxonomy): domain Eukaryota; kingdom Metazoa; phylum Chordata; class Mammalia; order Primates; family Hominidae; genus Homo; species Homo sapiens. The sequence continues at coordinate 71,707,265 of NC_000013.11, forward strand.
TGCAACCTGTGCAGCTGCACAAGTCACGTGCTTGGAAGAGTTTCTTCTGCTGGATTTAATGCTCTGCTGTCAGCATCTTGAATTCTTACCATTTTAAAATAAGGGACCCTACATTTGTATTTTGCACTGGGCTTGTCCTGAAAGTGAGCCTGTGTACACGGTGCCCAAATGCAGATGGTGGGCTTTGGGGAAGGAGTAGCCCTGAGCCTCCCTGAACACTTGGTCATGAAAGTGAACTGGAATTTGGCAAGGGAAAAGAAAGTAAGGAGAGGCAAATAATCCCAGAGAACAGAAGCAGAACAAAGGCATGACATAATATTTGTTTAGACGTAATAATTAGGCTCTTACATCTAGAGAAGATGAAATTAAGAGAGGATAATTTGTAATCAGATTTCCAAGGGCCTTAAAAGCCTACCTAGATTTTATTTATAAGAAAAGTAATAACTTTAAGCAAGGAAATGGAATGAAATGTAAATTGGTGTAAACGTAAAGTTGGAGAAAAAGACTAGAGGGTGGCATCTTTAATAGAAGATAATGGCAGAAATCTAGATTTAAAAATAACAGGCTGTAGGAGAACAATGAAAGGGAGGATGAAGAGATGGGTAAGTGAGCCATACTCAAGGGCACATGGTGTTTCAAAAACACCTCCCACTATTTGGCTTTTATCCTTGAAAGAGAGCTCATAAGAAAGTTTCACCAGGCCCACTGAAGTGGAAAAGCATAATAATATACTTGGTGAGTAATCTAACTTCTTTTTCTCCAAAGGCTAGTAATCACCTATAAATTAAAATAAAGCACTTAAGTTTTATAGCAAAAAACAAACAAACTGGCGATTTTCACTAAAACCAAAAATGAAAAAAAAAAAAAGTAAAAACAAAATAAAAACCCTGATTAAGGGTGCATTTGAAATATATAGTCTCTTCTGCATGGCTTATTCCTGTGCCTCGATCTATAACAACAAAGCAATCAACAAGCAAACCATATAGTCAAATTAAAGTCTGGTATTAAAAGTAAGCTTGACTTGATTGAATCAAAGCAGTTCATTTATTAAGTTTTTCACTTCTCAACTTAATTCCTTCAAAATAGGAATATGACCATATTAACTTAGTAAATTATTATTTTAAAGAGAGGATTATCTGAAATCAGTATAATTTCATTTTTTCAAATACAGATCTGGAGAAAGAGATTGCATGTTTTATTTTGGGCTAAAATACTTAGTTGAAAACTATTTAATAAAACATTTGAATAGAAGTTTTCTGGTGTTTCCCATATCAAACTGCTACCCTTTCTTGTATCCAATCTCATCAATACCATTTATGAAACTGAAGAATATATTAACATATAATATATTATGAAGAATATATCTAAGTGTAATAACTGCAAAATAATCTTCGTTGAAGATTTAAATAGCCTACAGTGATTCTTGTAATATGGTTTGCAAAACATTCAGATAAGCAAGCTAATATCTTCCAAGTATTGTTTGTTACCAACTTTTCTACATCCAATTCTTCTCTAAATGTTCTTAAAATGTTGCTTATGATTATTACTTTGTCAATAAGCTTTCTCAGGGTTTCCAAGTTTTTTGTTGTTTTTTTTTTTTTTTTTTGAGACGGAGTCTCGCTCTGTCGCCCAAGCTGGAGTGCAGTGGCGCGATCTCGGCTCACTGCAAGCTCAGCCTCCCGGGTTCACGCCATTCTCCTGCCTCAGCCTCCCGAGTAGCTGGGACTACAGGCGCCCGCCACCATGCCCGACTAATTTTTTTGTATTTTTAGTAGAGACGGGGTTTCACCATGTTAGCCAGGATGGTCTCGATCTCCTGACCTCATGATCCTCCTGCCTCGGCCTCCCAAAGTGCTGGGATTACAGGCGTGAGCCACCGTGCCTGGCCGTATTTTTTAAATGATTTAACTTCTTCATAGCCAAACTTAACTTATATATGTACTTTTTTAAAATATCAATTCATCACTGAAATATATAAAATTTTCCCTTGATTAATAAAATGCGTTATATATACAGTAGTCCCCTATTATCCATGGTTTTGCTCTTGGCAGTTTCAATTACCCCTGCCAACCACAGTCCAAAAACATTAAATAGAAACTTCCAGAAATAAGCATGTCACAGTTTTAAATCGTGTGCCATTCTGAATACTGTGATAAAATCTTGTGCTGTCCTGCTTTGTCCCACCGAGACGTGAATTGTCCATTTTCCAGAGTATACAGGCCATGTATACCCACTCTTTAGTCACTTAGTAACTAACTCTTGTGGTTACCAGATGAACTGTGGCAGTATCGCAGTGGTTGTGTTCAAGTAATCCTTATTTTATTTAATAAGGGTGTGAAAAGGCCAGAGTAGTGATGCTGGCATATTGGTATAATTGCTCTATTTCATTATCAGTCATTGCTAATCTCTTCCTTTGCCTAACTTGTAAGTTAAATTTTATTATAAGTATGCACATATAGAAAAAAGCATAGTATATAGAGAGTTGGGTACTGTCCGCCATTTCAGGAATCCACTGAAGGTCTGGAAATGTACACCCTGCAGATAAGGGAACATTACTGTATAAATAAATAAATACACCCACACACATATATATTTGACAGGGTTTTGCTCTGCCTCAAAGAGCAAAGTGCAGTGGTGGAGTGGCGTGATCACGGCTCACTACAGCCTCGAATTTCTGGGCTCAATCGATCCTTCCACCTTAACCTCCCTAATAGCTGAGACTACAAGTTTGCACCACCATGCCTGGCTAATTTTTGTATTTTTTTGTAAAGATGGGGTTTCACCATGTTGTCTAGGCTTACACATATATTTTTTGTAATTTTATGAATATCTTGCATCCAAATGTGATTATAAATAGTCTACTTATTGGGAACAGAGACTAGAACTTTATTTGTCTGAAGAGGGATTGAAAAGAAAGAAAAAGACAATTCCTGACTTCAAAATATCATAAGGCTTGACTTTGAAATAATGCTGTGTAAATACATTAATAAATTGATTTTTATAAAGAAAATTACATTTCCCTTCAGATTCCATCTCAAGGACTTTTCATCTTTGCCAAATTTTAAAGAAAAGGTGCCACGCAAATTGGACCATTGAGAGGGATGCGCAGAGGATCATAGAAAGCCCCAGAGATTAATGAGAACTAGAATTTTATGGGGCCTGAAAGTGAGGTTCAAATATGAGGGTTTTGTGTGTGTGTGTGTGTGTGTGTGTGTGTGTGTGTGTGTGTTTATGTGTGTGTGTGTGATGAACAGGAGGAGAGTGTTACAAGAAAAACAGGATGGAAAAGTGAACAAGAGCTATCATAAAGGATCTTGTAAGCCACACTAAGGAATTTAGATTTTTGAACTGCTTCTATTTGAAAGACACTGAAAGATTAAAAGACAAAATAAGGTTTGAGTAAGTATCATTTTGGAGGTGGCCAGGTAGGAAAACACATGACAGCCTGCCTAAAAATCTTCCAACATTTCCTTTCTTCCCTCTTTACTAAAAAATTCTTACATAAAATAGCAGAAGAAATGAATTCAGTGGAACATCTGCAAAGCAAAGAAATTTACTTAAAAATTGTATTAGGGTTTGATAGTCTTTGAGGAATTCCCTTTTGGAAGACACTTAGAAGTTGACTTCTGGGGTAAATTTTAGAAAAATTAAATATTACTTAACCAATTCATATTACAGCTGTTTAGTTCACTGGGGCATGAATGGATCAAACAATACCCTAGTCAGTTATTCTATATAAAAGTAAATAATTATGTCTCTTTATTGATGGAAGAAATGGTTCTAAGTAGAAAGAAAACAGGATTGCAAAGCCATTGAAGTTAAGCAATACACGTTTAGGTCATACACTAGGCTGGATCCTTGAAAAATGCATGAAATTTATTTCTAACACTTCATGCACTGGGAAAATCTGGCCAATAATAAATTCAGAATACACAGCAATAAAGAGCATGAAAATAACATTAAAAATAAGTATCAACACTTAAACTGCAACAGGAGGGATATAGATGAGATATGAAAAAATAGTTCTTCCTCTCATTAGAGCAGTTAAACATTAGAATAGGTTATCAGGGAAGGTCTCCACAGACTCTTCTCTTGAAGGTTTTTAACATCTAAGACAGCCATTTATCTTGAATAGTTGAGGTAAGTCCTGTCTGCAGGCAGGTGAAGGACTAGATGACCTCTGAATTCATAAGTCATAAACTACTTTTTATCTGCTACCTGATTCGGTTACTCAAGCAGTCCTTTTTATTCAGAAGTGATCATCAGCAATGTTAAACATTCTACACATTAAATATTTCCCATTTTAACATGAGTAAACCACATTGAAAAGGTGTGGATGACAGATTAAAATAATCATTTGTAATCAAACCAGAATTAATTTTTTTTAAAAAATCTATCCTTCACATGTTAAAAGAATAAGCAATATGGGGACCATTTAAAATTTTGTCATTTCAGTGTGATAATGAAAATAGCAGGTATTTATGATAAGACTAGCACGAATGTTATTTTTGATTACTATAAATGATATGATAAAAGTCACATGAGGAATGTTTTTGATACTTGCTACATTGTCTGACTCATTTAAATAGATACTTAAATACTTCCCTTTTCTTTTATTACACTCTATCTAGATCATGAGAAAGTTCAGTTCTATGCTTGACACAGGTGACTTCAAGGAAAATAAATTATGTTAACCAAAACAGCAAAGGATCAATAAACAAATGAGCATATAACCATAGCTAATGTCGTTCCAAAGAGTTACAAAGATTCATCTGTTATCTTGGTTCTATGTAATCCCCCCTTCACTTCTCATCTCTGGCATTGGAATGCATGACAAATAAAAAATGATACAGGATTTTTAGTATAATAATAGAAATTCTAAAATGACCCATAATGTCTTTACTGAAGAAATATCTAATGTAGATTTCTTTTAATTCATTTGAATATATATTCTTAAATCATATTTTTTTCAGAAATTAAATCTTTTTTTCTTAGAACTTCAATCTGAAAACCTTTTTTTTGAATATCAATTCATATTAAAAATAAAATGTGGACAAAAATTAAATTGAAATATCAGGCAATGATTATGTCTGGGGTATATAGATAACATACATATTATGGGTATCATTAATATTTTTAAAATAAGAATAGCTTCAGCTATACTGCTTTAGCTGTAATATTTTATAGGCTCAGAGGACAAAATGTGAAATAAACTACATTGCATTGACCTTCCTCAGAACAAACACTTGGCAAATGTTTTTAGAACAAAAATTTCTGCAAGTTTAGGTTGTAGTCTAAAGTTCAGGATTTTAAATTGGTTTGAATTTTTAGCTGTATTCAAAAGAAACTTAGAGGTTGTTCCATGTACGACATGCTGGCCTATTACATATCACAACTTCTTGCCATTTAAGGTAAACAAAAATTTTTTTAATGAAAATGTTGCTTTAGTTTACATTTCCCCCCTTAATTTAAAATAAATACTTATTTCAACCTATTTAGTCAGCGTTAAATTATTTTTAATAAACTATTTCCTTTACCCCCCAAAAAATCAATAAACAACCTTTTCATATTTCACTAATGGAAAATTTAAATAACATTTAAAATGAAATTAAACACTTATAGCAATGACTCTAGCAGTCACTGAATATGTTTGAGGATTGCCTACAAGTGATAATAGAATAAACTTTGGCTTCTATTCCTTTATAGATTATTGTAAGTTTTAATTTTCTCTGATGCAATGTTTAATTGACAAAAACAAAAAGAAGCCAGTAATGGGCCCATGGCAGCAAGGGGTCACAAGCCCAAGATTTCTTCTTTTCTTCTTCTTTTTTTTTTTTTCCTTTCTGTTTTGTAACCATGGTAAAACAATAGAAGTGAACTTTCCCTGAACTTTTCTCTTTAAAGCCCTGGGTCCACGTTGACCTAGCAGGGCAGGCTGGAACCTGATACTATCAACCCAAGGGCTGCTAAAGCAATCAGGTTCAACAACAACCATATATGTTCCCTAATGTCGCTTTGCCACAAAGCCAAGGCAAAAGCAAGCTATTTCTAGTAAAGAATTTATTTCTATTGTTTCAGAGATTAATTCAATGGTCTAAACGTGCATAAAACATGGACTAAATGGTAGACTACAGAAATATATTATTGTTCTCTTATAATTATATCACTACCAAAGTTTATTTGCAGATAAGGCCTAATCCCACACACACAAAAAAAGCTTCTGGATGCATTAGTAAAAAACAGATGATTTAAATCATTATAGATTTAGATAATCTTACATTTAACTTAGTCATTTTATTAAATTCTCATGGTGATCTGTCTTAAAAGGTAACACTGTATGAAATTTTGTCTATGTTCTTCTACAGGCAATAAAGGTATGAAGACATAATTGATTAAAGATACAAATTAAAATATTTGTTATTCTGCAATTGCAGCATGATAAGCAATGTATTAGATAAATTGTAGTAGCATCATTCCCATCTCGTTCAATAAAAGGTGTATTAGATTTTTGTTTTAAATCCAGTTTTCAAGAATTTGTAATACTACAAGCAAAATTTTAAAAGAGAATGATCAAATTCAGAAAAATTAGACAAATATAATTTCTAATAATCATAAATAAGTATTATAGAGGTAGTTCAGATTCAGCCTTTTTACCACTTCTTATTTTCAACTACAATATTAAGAAAAAATTAATAAAGATAAAATAATGGTAAGGAAAAGTTATTCTATCATTACTTGAAGCTCTCTCAAAATGTCTCTACAGATACTTGAATATCATATATTTATTACATATTAACTATTATGAATTACTTCAAAATGTCAACTGTGCATAAATAGATGCTCAGCTATATCATATCTTCCTGAATATTATTTCATATGGGCTATTTTATGGTACACTTTCATAGAAACAGTTTCAGTGGTTCCAATAGGAGAGTTGGATCATGTGGATAAGATTTTTGTTATGGCAACACTAGGCCTCAACGTACCAATAAGAAGAAAATAGAATTTTGCCCCCATATAAAAAGGAGTTAAAAATATTAACAGAACGAAGAAACGGGGACAATTAAACAAAACAAAACAAAACAAAACAAAACAGGACATGGGCCATTGTATCAATAGTTGTCCTTAAAATAATATTTTTCCAGAATTACAAAATAGTAAGAATCCTTTTCGAAAAGTATCATGTTTATAGCAACAACTTGTTCATACTTTAACTTGAGTAAGTTAGTTATTAGTTGAAATTCATTTTTGTAGGTGTAGGTTTACATTGGTGTATGCTTACATCCAGTATTATACACATTTGAGAAATGGGAGGACGAAACAAAAAATAAAAGACATCTGTGGAATTTTATTATATTTAGTAAAGATTCCTTATGAAAATATAGGATTAATATTTTTATCCCGTTCTTGAGCTGACTTTCCAAGTAGTAATATAAAAAATATTACTGAAAGTGCAGGTTAAACACTAATTTGACTTTAAAGAAACCTATCAATGTTTAGAATATTTAGGGCACCAATAAGAGAGATTTTTTAAAAATGTATTTTAAAATAGAAAGGATGGAAAGAAGATCATGAAGCCAAGAAATAAAATAGGCAGAGAAAGTATTGGTCTACCCTTTCAACTCTTGATAGTGGCTTCACTGATTCTCTTTTTTCCAAGTTTGAGAACAAGGAGTTAAGGTTGTGACTTAACTGAGAAAAAAGGGATAGCTAACATACACAGAACATCTACTAACAGGTAAGTAAAATATCTATCTCATTTAAATTCCAACAACCGTTTTAGGCAGATATTATTATCTCCATCTCTCAGATGAGGAAATTTGAGCTGACTGGCCCAACAGCATGACTCATAAATTTTAGATCTTTATGTCAGATCCATGTATCTCCGACTTCAAAGCCTGTACTTATTCCATTATACCATGGTGCCTCTGAATAGTAGAGACAAAAGGTCACTTTGCCATGGATCAAAAGACAGAAGCTGTCACTTATTAGATGTGTGACCTTGACAAGTCACTTAACCTTTTGGTATCCACATCTTCCCTTCCCTAACACCCTCAAGAAGTGCTATAGCCAATAAAACTTAAAAACCTGAAATAAAATAGTCAAAGAAGCTAATATTAGCATAGAGCATTTAATAAGAATGTGAACAGTGAGCACAAAGGAAAAAGATGGCTGTGTGTATGCTGCTCTGTTCAGGGTACATTCTTCCAACCTAAGAAGGCGGTTTCCTATATTTGTGCCATTATCTTAATCTCATTTCTAACTCAATGTCACTATTCTTCCTCCTGCCCTGCCTGATTTCTCTGAGTAAAAGTATTATACAGAAATTTTAACAGCTGTTGATATCTATTGAAATAGCTAATTTCAATAGCTGTCTATTGGTGAACATAGAGTATATTAATGCAGAGTATTTCCAATGAGAACGAGATATGTCTTTTATGTAAATAAAAAGACAACTTTCAGTCTCGGGGAACAATTAATGGGCTCTGAAAAATAATTTTCTTCAGTTGTTTCTCCTAAAAAAAAATAACAAAAACTCTGGAGACTGAAAAATCTATACCCCTCAAATAATTTCATATCAGCTTAGAAATTAAATTGAAGTTTAGCTTATCAATTATTAAAACAAACATCTGGGAATACAGAAATAATGTTTTCCTTTTTCTCTTGAGTTTGAAATCTATCTTTCTAGAGGTGTAAGTGATATCTGAACATTTCACAAGTGCCTCAAATTCAACATGTCTGATGTAAACTTCTTATCTTCTACCTTAAACCTGCACCTCATTACCTATTGCATTACATATCTCAGAAAATAAACCACCATCCATCCAATCCCCAAAACCAGAGCCCAGAGAGTCTTCCCAATCCTTCCCTCTTTTTCAATGTACTTTCTACTTCTTAGCTTAATAATCATCATCTTCTATTGATTCTGCCTATGATACATCTTCCAACTCACTCTCTTCTTCATTCACATTGCTCCTGCCTTCTCTCAGGTCCTCCTGTGTTCCTGTAGTGTTTGATACTGACCTAAGTGTTCTATATAGAAATAACATTATAGCACATTCAGTGCCTTCTGCGAATCTAAATATTCACCAAATTTCTTATCATAGCATACAAGACTCTTCAAAATCTAGCACCTCAATTCCTTTCAGGTATAATTTCTCATAACTTTCCTACCCTCACTCTGTAGTTGGAACCTAATTACTTTCACATATTCATGCTTTACAGATCTAATCCTTCTTCCTGAAATGCCCATTCCTTCAGTTGTACATGTGAGAAGCCCTACACCAATTCTCACCAACTTCTTCCCTAATCTTCCCAAGTGCTCACCAATTGCCTTTTACTTCTATTGTATCATGGAATACCATAGTATCATATTAGTCTTTCTATTAACATAATAATTTATGTATTATTTTAGTCTGCCAACAAAACCTTTAAATGCAGCAACTATGTTCTATATATTCCTCTTTTGCCAGAATTCAATGGTCTGGTAATAAGGATAAAAGTATTACTGTTTGCTGGATGAATCAGCTGAAGAAGAAACAAATGAATTATTTTTTGAATTTAATTTATTTTTATTTTACTTTAAGTTCTGGGATATATGTGCAGGTTTGTTACATAGGTATACATGTGCCATGGTGGTTTGCTGCAACCATCAACCTGTCATCCAGGTTTTAAGCCTTGCATGCATTAGGTAATTAACTATTTTTTTAAAGTATACATCATGCATGTAATTAACAGAAAATATTACTTTACAGGAATAGCCTTTCCAAAAAATTTCCATCCCTCATTAAATTAAGAGACCTAATGCTAAGGATTCATCCAAAGAAGATTTTATATTCATTTTTACTGAATAATCAATTATATTATGTACACACCTACAAAATTCAAAATATAAAATAAACTAAAGCAAAATAATACACAATTTTGTGTGCTACAAAAAATTTTAGTTTAAAAATTATTTTAAATGTCAGTCAAATAATACAGAATATTAAGTCATCATTGCCCTTTAAAATTCTTTCAACAAGAAATGCCTAATTGTACTTTCACTTTATCTCACTGTACCAGTAAGTAAATAAATTAACAAAATAGCTTTTATCACACAGAATAACCTTTTAACTGAGGGATTATCTCTGGTTTATTTTACATTTCTTTCACTGCAGATAGCAGTTCATGCCTCATTGATTAGTTTGCTAAGGTGGTGACCAGAAATGAAAACACTGCAAGGACCTGTGTGTGTAATCACACACACACACACACACACACACACACACACACACACATTAATTCTATGCCTCTATGCCCGCTTAGATTTGTTTCTTATTTACACATTTTTATGTTTTTTCGTTAAATTGCGTTTCCATTCATAATTTAAATTGTCCATTTCGTAACTCTCAGGGAGAGGAAAATATAAAGTCGATGGAAAAAAAAATCTAGTTTTCTTCAGATTCCTGCTACTTAGGAATATAATGATAGCCTGTATCTTGATGTATGCCATTGAATATACCAGCCACATTTGAGACTTGCCATATTCATCATAAGCTCATCAGTCAGATCTTTAGATCTAACATCTCTTTCGTTTTTTCAGTCAAAACCAATATGGAATTAGTAGTCCAAAAAAACTTTTAAATTAAAAAAAAAACACAGAAATCAAGTACAGTAATATTAATAAGTGTTAATTAGAGTAACCAGAACCAATGAGAGCATGTCACTCTCATTTGGTCTTTTGCTACCCAAAGACTCTGTAGAATCACGTGTCCCAGTGTTTAAAAAGATCATGGATCACCTAGAAGGCCCCAGAAAAGAACAACCACAGGGTTGAAGGATTCGAAAGTCCAGAACAAATGAAGAAGGAAAGAGAGCATATGGTCTCACATGGAAAAGATGAGAACAAAATGGGAACCTTAAAATATTGAATAAAAGCTAACCAAATAAAAGACAGATTAAATTCATTCCTTTCACTTATGAACTCAGTAATAGATTATTTTTGCCAAACGGAAGAAAGAGCATAACAGTTAGACTTAAAAAAAAGCTCTCTTCCGGCTGGGCACACTGGCTCACACGTGCAATCCCAGAACTTTGGGAGGCCCAGGCAGAAGGATCTCTCGAGCTCAGGAGTTCAAGACCAGTCTGGGCAACATAGCGAGACCTCATTTCCACTAAAAATTAAAACAAAATTAGCTGGGCATGGTGGTGCACCTATACTCCCAGCTACTCAGGAGGAGGATTACTTGTGTCAGGGAAATCCAAAATGCAGTGAGCTATGATCGCATCACTGCACACCATCCCGGATGACAGAGCAAGACCATATCTGAAAAAAAAAAAAAAAAATAGAAATCTCTTTCTCCCAGATCCTTCTCCCTTCAATGTTCAGGTAGAGCTAGATAACTTACTCAGTATATCAGGATGTTGTAAAATTGACACTGGCATTTGTTACAGGCTTTAGCTCACCCACTGCTGAGGCCTCTTTCTCTTCTAAAACTGTATTCCCTTCTCTGTAATCTCCATCACCAAGTAGAGTTGATTATGTATTCAAACATATTGTTTCTTTTCCATTTGTTTGCTATTTCATTAATTAGGTGCATATTTCCTTAGGATCTTATGTTATCCTGATAACTGGCTGCTCTATCAACATTCCCATTTATAAACCATCCTACCCATTGCTTTTAGAATAAAAATTATTAGGTAAGAAGATTTTTAAGTAATAGCCAAAGCAAGCTTTAGGAAAATTATAATCTGGCAATCTTCATGTCTCTACTGTTAGTGGAGCTTTCTTTTCTGTTGGCATTCTTACTCCTCCCATTGACATTTAAACCCATCACCCCAGACATCTACACATCTTAGTATTTTGCTTTCAACAGTCAACTAAACCCTGCGAGGATTTAATTGATAATTAAAGTTAAAAGCTTAAATTATGAGTATTTGCATTTAAAAGAGGCTCCTTCTTCTGTATGAATGCAACCTCTGGTGCTATTTCTTAAGTACAAAAGTAAATGAGCCTTTGTAGGCCACCTTTGAAAGGTTGTCTTTGACCCAAAATAGAATGGCTTATTTAATCATAGGATTTTCTGCTCAAGGAACAACATAGATCCCATGTCTTACTGTAGCATGTACCAAGCCTCTTCTTTTGGTCTTTCAGCCTCTTTACAAACTTAACACCCCACATTCTCACCAATTTGACTACATTTCAGTTCACATTACAATTTCATGCAATGCAAAGAATAGACATAGATTTTTTTCTAGAAGTCACAGTACACTTTCTATACTATGCTCACTATCTGTGTGTATTATTCTATTACCTATATTTTTCTTTTGGGTAAAGAAGAAGAGTATCACTTTTCTTTCCATCAAAAACAGATTTTAAAAGTGGCCTTGGGAGGATTGTCTGAGCCAAGGAGTTCAATCTCAGCCTCGGTAACATACTGAAACCCCATCACTACAAAAAATTTAAAAATTAGCCTGGCTTGGTGGCATGAACCTGTAGTCCCAGCTACTCTGGAGGCTGAGGTGGAAAGATTACTTGAGCACAGGAGGTTGAGGCTGCACTGAGCTGTGATCACGCCACTGCACTCCAGCCTGGGCCACAGAGTGACACTCTGTCAAATAAATAAATAAAAATAAAAAGTGACCTCCCCAGGAAGCCTTATTGAAATATATTAACTGTTTCTACTTTTAGTTCTTTATTTATCTTTTTGGTTCAATATTTATTGAGAGTTTATTACGTACTGGGGAAGAATCTAGGTGAAGAAAGACAACACATAAATAGATGAATAAACTACTAAAATGCTGTCTTTAAATTACTTGTACACAGAAGACTTCTCTAAGAAGATGAGACTTGAATATCAAGAAGTTAGCAGCTATGGATGGGTGAAGCTATGGGAAAATCAGCAGAAAATGTCTCAGCAAATGGACTAGTGAGTGCAAAAGGCCTAAGTCTGATCAGGAAAGCAAAGGAAAGCTAGCATGGCTTATTCCAGCATGTGAAGGGGAGAAAAGAAAGAATGGACTCCAGGAGGCTGGCAGACATTTGGACTTCACTGACATATGAATAGTATTTATTTGTATGCTCTCTTACTAAGTTTTAAATCTTTTGCTGTTCACAGCACATTTTTGCATTCCCCAAATATATTTTCTCTCTCAGAAATATATATAGGTGTGTCAAGAGACACACCTTGTTACCCTATTGTCAGCCATAACGTCTAGTTCAAGGCTCAGCTCATAATCATGTCTAACAAATGTGTTTGACTAACTAAATTAAAATGTAATATAAATGAAAACCATTCATTTAAAATTCCAAAGCACTCCATGGTGTTTAAATTTTCAGATTCTATAAAGAATACTATCGGTATTTTAATGAAATATGAATCCTTTGCCTGCTAACATGTAAAGATAATGCTGCAGCTGAAAGTGCATTATATAAATGTCTACTTTAGTCCTTCTTTGTCAATGCTTTGCTATCCATATAAAAGATCCAGATCAATATAAAGGTAAAAACATGATACATGATAGCAGACAGTTATGTTCTCTAAACTTTACTTATCAGTTCTAAGATGTCTTTATCAAAAAGTTTATTTTCTTGCAGTAGTTACTTTATATCAAGCAGTTATCTCTCACACTTGTCAGATTGTTCCTACACCCAGATAAATGTCCCTGTCATCACATACTGAAAGGAAAATGTAAATCTGCATTATAAAATGCATTTCTCTCTTACTTGATGATCCACAGCTATTTCCTGTTAAAAATACTGTAGAACAAACAACAATAATAATATTGGTTGGAAAAAATAGGGAAACATTACCTATGGATATTTAAGAAACAAAGCCAACACTAATCCTTTATTTGAAGAAAGTAAAAATCTATATCCAAACATGATTTCCCTATACATAGTGTCGATGTTCAGATATTGAGCCTGATGCCCTCATAATACATTTGCCTAACACCACAGTAAATTTTTTCATTGTTTTCTCCCAACTAGGATGACAACCACCTAACCTACATAATATTAAGCAGACATTTAGTTCCACTGATGTGAACAGCCAAGAGATTAATGCTGACAGAGCTAAATTACACAAGAGTCAAGAGATGTGATCCAACAATACAATTATAATTATCACTAGGGGAGGTAAGAGATGAACATATTTTCATCTACTAAGAGCTCTGAACTAAAGGGCCAAACACTTAAATGCCACTTTTACTCATTTGGTAACTAGGGGTAGTCCAAATTCTGTAATTATCTGACTTTGCATTCATTAAAAGCAGCTTGGTTTTAGAGGCTTCTGATAGCAATGTCACAATTAACAGTCTACGTTTCATTTGCAGCCACTATTTCAAAAGAACTAAAATAATCACCAAGTCATATGAATAATAAAAAAGGACTAGTCCTCATTTTCTTCTCTTTTGTTTCAGTAATTTGCTGTGCAATGAATTATGTTTTAACTTAGGTTTTTATTTATTTTGTGCGATATCATAAAATAATTAAGAAATCCTCATATCATTTTTTCTTCCTTAAAAGTATGTTGGAAAAAAAGAAATATGATATCCATTTAAAAAATAAGATTTTAGATGAAAGTTCTTAACAATATGTTAAAGCATTTTACTTCTTGAGTGGTACATTATAGACACTTAAAGTTATGAATATATACCTGAAGCTTTAATAATCCTTTTGAATAGTGTATCTATTAGAATGATATTTATTATAAGGATAGAATTAGAAATTATGCTCTTAGGCAATTATAAGTCTATACCATTAAATTATTTTTACTCCAGTATATGAATCATCACTTTGAATAATTTATATATTAGAAAGTAATATTCCTTAGCAGTATACAACCAGCATATGCCATTTGCTATAAATGAGTTTCTGTATTATAAACAGGTAATACAATCAGGATGAAAGTGAGGAAACCATCTTCCTTTTGGCTTTCCTTACAGACATTCTGGGTGATTTTAAGAAGTTTAGTAAGTTTTGTTTTCTTACTAACTCCCTCCATATTGACATTTGTTGATTTCCTATGAGATTTTCTACCTTTTGAGAGAAAATATCAACTTGCTTCTTTCCTTCTTTTAGAAAAAATAATTCACAGAACAACATTCCCTTCTAATGACTACGAGGTGGAATATAACAAGTCCTTCCTATGTGAAACTCCCAGTTGCAGCTACTCATGACTAAGTCATACCGAACACCAAAGAAAGCAGTGGTTGGTTACTTAATAGCTTTCTGGACAGAACTTGAAAATTGGGAAGGGGGTACTTCCGGATAATAATACTTGAAAACTATCATCATAGTGAGCTTGGCTTATATCAATGTAAAAATCTGTATGCATTTAAAATAATCCCCAAACAGATATATATCATTTTCTCATTTATTATTTTATCTTGCTAGAAACAATAGTTCTAAATATGTTGATAAAGTACTGAAAAGCCAGACACACAGTATCATTCAGTTTCAAAAGTTGAGGAAAGAGCTTTGGATTTGGGGTCAGAAGGTACAGGTTTCAGTTTTTACTTGTATGAACTTCAACTTTCTGGGTTCAATGTCTACATCATTGCTGTGGGGCTTCAATATACTATTCGTGGCTTTCTCATAAACTACGATGGAGCTGGGGGTGTAGCTAAAGAGAGGAGGAGGATTCTTATCACCTCCTCCCTCAATGCTTAGGAGCAGGGGCTAGGGTTAGAATATCTCTGTTATTTGGAGACTTTGTAAAGGAATGACTCAGTACCATCTATATTCAAAAGAGCAGAATGTGCTGAGTTCCAGGTTTCTTTTCATCTTTTTCATGGATTGTTGTGTCAAAACCAGAAACCGTTGTACATTTCTCTATCCTAAATAAAATAAAACCTATTAAAATGTGTCTAGGTCTGGCATAGCAGCTTGTACCTGTAATCCTAGCACTTTGGGAGGTTGAGGCAAAAGGATCGCTTGAGCCCAGGAGTTTGAGAACCAGCCTGGGAAAACCAGGCCAAATTTGTCTCTACACAAATTAAAAAAAAAAAAAAAAAATTAGTCCAGCGTGGTGGCACATGCCTGTAGCCCCAGCTACTCAGGAGCCTAAGGTAGGAGGATCACTTGACCCCAGAAGGTTGAGGCTGCAGTGAACCCTGATCACACCATTGCATTCCAGCCGAGGCAGTAGAGTGAGATCCTATCTAAAAAATAAAATAAAATGTGTCCTAGTTAACATGGTTAACATGGTTCCCCAAATATTTGGCATTATGTTTTAAGATATTTTATAACTTCAGACCGCACAAATAAATAGGTACCTGAACAGTAATATTAAAAACCTCTTTTGATGTTGACTTGCATTTGACGCAATAAAATCTGTTTTTAGTAAGGTGGTTTTTTAAAAATTTATGTTCTAATCCCACATCAATCCTCTTCTGTTTCTTAACAAATTAAATGATAAATTATTGTTTTGCTTTTTTGTTTTGTTTTGTTTTGTTTTTTGAGACAGAGTCTCACTGCCTTTTCCAGTCTGAAGTGCAGTGGTGCTGTCTTGGCTTACTGCAACTTCTGCCTTCTGGGCTCTAGTGATCCGCCCACCTCAGCCTCTTGAGTAGCTTGGATTACAGGCAAGTGCCACCATACCAAGCTAATTTTTGTCTTTTTAGTAGAATCGGGGTTCCACCATGTTGCTCAGGTTGGTCTCAAACTCCTGGCCTCAAGTGATCTGCCCACCTCGGCCTCCCAAATTGCTGGGCTTACAGGCCTGAACCACTGCACCTGGCCTGTTTTGTATTTTTGTTTTCACTTTCCTTTCAGACTATTTTGATAGGAATCAGCAATTCTTAGATTAGTCTGAAAAGCCCTCTCAGTATTGAAATTTTGTAGGCATTCACTTAAACCTAAGGTAAGTAGAAAAATAAATTCGTATCTAATGGAAACTAGTTCCAACTTGTTTGTTTTCAAAATAAAGGAAACAAATATGAAAAAACTTCTATCATCAAAAACTTCTAAGGGGTTTATAGTTGTATTTATCCTGTTTAGCTCAAGTGAGAAGTAATTTTACATTTGAAAACCTTCATCAAAACTGTACTGAAGACAGCTTGCTATACTTGGATAATTCCATTTGGTGACTCCCAACTAGGCAAAACTTTCTGCCCTTTAGCAAATATAATTTACTGAATGAATAAATAAAATTAAATTTATAATAACTAAAAACAATATATTCAATGCATGCCAATTTAAATCTTAAATTACTCCAACTGACCAACAGAAATCCTGAGATCATCAACATTTGCCTAAAACCTGCTCTATAACTTGTTCAAAATAACTTGGAAACACTCTTGATATGATACAACTATACCATATACTTCCATTTCTGAATTTTTTTATACACAGCAAAGTAGATGGGTTATTTCCAAGTCAATTGAATAAAGTATTACTTATATCAAAAAATACATAGAAAATGTATGTTAGTTATGATATCAAAAGAAAGAAACTATGTTATGCCTAGAGTTTTAAACAGAGAAGAATTGTAAAGGAACTTGCAAGTAAGTTTCTTTATGATTTATGTCCATTTGTATTTTTTTAAGCTCCAATTAGCTCCATAAAGACTACTTTAGAGGAATAAAAACATTCAAATATTTGGCAGTCTCAAACACTCGTCTTAGAAATGTTTCTTCATGGATGAACCTTTATGTTATAATGAATGTCAATCACAACTAACTATAACTTTTGGGTTTGCAAAGGAACAAGCAATTCTCTCTAACACTCCATTTGCAAGTGCAAAACATCAAAATGTGATATTACAATTGGCAAAAAACGGACTTTACATGTGGATTATAGCATATCTTAGTGAAACTGAAACTGTAAAAAAAAAATTCAAAAGAAAACTTGAAAATAATGGTTTTGAACATAAAATTAGTACAACAAAAAAGACTTGAAAAATTTTTAGCAAAACAAGTCTCATCAAAGCAATATGAATGTTAGCGTCAAAAAACCATGTTTCTCAAAAGGCACCTTTCTTGACAAAGCTTTAATTGTTTTGAGCAATGTAGCCTCTAAGAAAATGAACCTACGGATTCAGCTGAGTTTCAAAAAAGAAGACAAAAGAGAGAGAAAGTAAATAGAAATTAACCAAAATATCGAATTCTACTTCTAAAACTCCTCTCAAAAGCTGTCATTTCATTCAAGTGTTAGTCCTCTCTTTCTCTGAGTGCATTGTGGTATCTAACATTTAATATTAAAGTAAAATGCCCTAGGGAAGGAGTGGTACCAATAAGAGTAAAGTTGATGAAACTATATAAAATATAAACTTTAAAGCTAGCTAAATCTTGATTTTTTGCTAAATATCTTAAAATTTGTTTTGTCTAGAATTATATTGCCATTTTATGTAGCATGTATAAATTTTACTTTGATTAGTAGATGTTCTTTACATAAACACATTAAAAATATAATTGATAATATCTATTAGAGAAATAAGCTCCTTAATTCACAATATTTGGGATGGCAATCATCATTGAAAATAAAACAAAAATGCAGGATATTTTGTTTGGATATTGCTCTGAAAATAAATAATACAGTATTAAAAAATATGAGTGGAAGATTTAAGGAAAGCATGCTTACACATGATTGATCTCTTAGAAAGCTGCATGGTTTATAAAGGCACTGGATTACATGGGGCTTTTTTGGTTTCAAATAGATACACTTTGCTCCACAAAGTTATGTATTTGCTATTGTCTTTTGCATTATAGTTTGTCTTTCTGGATAACAAATCCCCTTGGAGAACCTGTTGAAAGTTACGGACCCCTTTAATCATTAATGAACACATAGTGATTTACCTAAAATTGTGCATGCAATTTCAGTTGAGGTCCTCACAGATGCTTCCCCCTCAGAATCTCAGCTATGGACCAAGACTCTGCCTGGCATGTTTTAAACCTCTATTCTTCTCAATGAATTATACACTTGTAATGCTACAGGGAGTTGAGGCGAATAGACCGCATGTTGAAGCCCTATAAGTTTGTTTCATTAATAGGGGAAAATGTGAATTTTCCTATTTATATGCACATAGGCACTAGTATCATTACTGAGAGAAAAAGCAAAAGAATACTTCCATGTCTGAGATTTAAAACTGATTTAGTTGAAACAACTGATGAGTATTAAAAACAGTAAACTCAGCGTGACTTAACAAGAAAACGCTTTAAATGTAAGAAATAATTGTTTGGATATCTAAACATCCAAATCACATGTGCATTTTCATCCTAAATTAAACAAATTCTAAGTAAAAAAGTATACGCCTAATAGAAAAATAAAGTGATTTTTTTGTCATCCAATAAATAGGCAATGAAAAATCTATATTTAAATTCAAGGTACTAAAGTGAATTAAAGAGGTAACTATTCCACAGGAGTATACATCATTTCAGTTTAATTTTAGTATACAAGTCTCCTTATTAAATATCATGTATAAAATAGTCTTATTTATCATCTTATCTCATTAAGTATTGTCTAGAGAGGCAATTTTGAAAAAGAAAACAATGGTTAGGAAGACTTTATTTTATTCTAATTATATTTGATACTTTAAATGTTTATCTATCTAATATATCTCTTATTAAACAATTCTTTAGCTCTGGTATATTTTTTAGTAAAGTTTTAATAACTTTCTCAGAATTAAAAATAGCATATGATATCAGAGACCAACAATAAAAGTAATCGAATTTAGAGAAATGTTTAGAAAATAAATAGATCTATACATATTTTGTTAAAGACCAATCAATTGATCTGCTGTTTTCTATGTAAAATGAAACAATGCTTATTATTAAAATATAGGCTGAATTCTTTGCCTGATTTTCCGCTTTTGTAAAATGCATTGCTTGAGAAACAAGTCTTCAAAAAACAAGGCCTAAAAAAATCTACTACTCAGGGTGCCTTTGAGGATATTTAATTAAAATCTAATCCTGCATTCATTAAGGCTCACATAAATTAAGCTGTCATTCATAAGATTTATGGATTCTCATTTGCATATTGCATACAATTCATCAATTACTCAAGTATGAAAGGAGCACATTTCCCTTGGAGCTGCCTGCTACCCTGCCAACATTTGAAATGAGGGAAAGAGCAAGACTGTCAGGCATTCACACAAACTTTCTTCCAAATGTCTGCTCCTTGATTAATCTAATTTTCTAGATCTTCCCTACAAGATACACCAACAGCCCTGGTGCACATTTCTATTATTTCGCCTGTCTTCATCACCAAAATCTTCCAGTCTTTGAATACTTCTTCATGTCTGAGTGATTATTCTTTATTTGCTAATAATATGGCATTGATGATATTTCCCTATTCAAATGTGTTTGATATGTACAAAGATGTAGGTTATAGGTCTGTTGATTTTTAATGTTTATTATTTGCTATCAACAATCAGCCAATAAAGAGCTGAAAATGAGGACATGGAAAAGGAAGAGAATGTTGCTGTGGAATGTAGTTGGCACAAAAGCCTAGTTTCAGAGACTGTTAGCATTTCAGAAGAACCTGAAACAAAGCCCTGTAGTAAATCACTGATTCTATATTTAATATAAAAAATGGAGTTCACTCAATCAGCTGCAAGTATATGCTACTGCACTTTTTGCAGTTCTAAGCAAAGTAGTAAGTAACCCAAATTAGTTTGTTTTCACTGTGCATAAAGCATACTGTGTTAATTCACTTGTCTTCTCTGGGGAGTAGATCTTAATTTCAGTGGCACAAGTTGGAAGTAACAGTCCTTTCTAGACCACACTCTGGAAACCTTCCAACAGGAATGTGATCAGGTGCGAAACTTAATGCAAAACACTCCTCATGTCCAGGATTTCTACAATTAAAATATATGAATGTATCAGCACTCTCAAAAATCTCTGCTCCTGAAAACATGCTGTCAATTAAATGTCAATTAAATAGAAAAACGGGAAAAACTACCTTTCAAAATCATTAGTTTTCTATGAAGTGCATATACTTCAGTATAAAAAGAAAGCATTTTATTCAATTTAAATATTTAGAAAATTCATTTGGTAACATGAGGGATTTTATTTTACTGTATGATACTTGCCAAAACTATGATCATATCTCTTTGGAAACACCCATTTAGAACCCAAAATTAGAATTTCCCAAATTAAAACCTTAACATCTCAGGTTAAGTGTTAAATTACCAAAGACACCTTTTGGTTGATTTTGCTCCCGAAGAGTCTAAAGAAATGAGTAAATGACTCTAAGGACTATACTAGCATAATCATAAATATTTTCACTTTACAAAAACTGTGCCTCTAAAGAGAAAAAAATTGTATTCAGCAATAAAAATAATTTCCATGAATTCCTCACAAATACATTTAACATAGGAGAAATAAATGACTCTATAAATTTAATCAGAAGGATGAAATCATTAGCATCCCCAATTTATAAAATGACTTTCAAAACTGAAAGCAAACAACAGATAAGCTCATGCTTTTTATTCATTCAAGTGGGATGGTTCTTCATAATTTTCAGAGATCCATGCCTGAGACACTACTGAGTGTATTGTCTGTCTTTTAACTCTTGCATTCTCTACATTTCAGTTTTCTCAGCATGAGCTGTCTACTTTATTCTATCCAAGTAATGTGTAATAGAAAAAGAATTGACCTATTCTATAATAATAATGCTTATTTTATTTCTTCAATACAAACCACCTGTTTGGGTTTTGTTTGGTTTTTGAGGTTTTTTTAACTATGTAAATTAAATATGATAATCAGCTTCCTTACTCAGTGTAATAGACAGTGAATGGAAAGCATATGGAAAACTTTACTTTTTTTTATTTAGTTCATCCTACAAAAGAATTTACCCCAGATTAATGAAGAAATCCCAAGTAAAAGAACACAAAAACATCTAAGAGTGATGGACAATAGAGAGGAGAGCTTCACCTGGGGCACTTCATTTAAATTGAAGATTTTGCATTAAATGTTTGTACAGATTAAGTGAACTTGTTTCATGTCCCAGAGTGCACATTTATTTTGAATAAATTATTCCCAAAATGAATTTGCTTTCTTTTTATTTTTCATAGCCCCTTTAGATTAATAATCAGATCTAAAATGGCATTTCTGAATGCAATCTATCTAGTCCACACATATGAGAGAACATTCTGATAGATTTTAAGAGATACTTATTTAAAAAGTCACACACAAATGAATACATAAAAGGACACCACTCCTCTTTAGGAAAAGTAAATATATTAAGGAAAGCATCAACATGGCAATGACCTTGAAAAGAATCTTGGGTTATGGTAGTCTATCACTAGTAATCAGGATTGATATCCATAAAATGAAGCTATCACAAAATCACTCTCTTGCTAGCATACTGCTATGTATGTTACATCCCTTAATACTGTTAAATGTTAGTCAGGTCCTGTGGAATCTATGCATAACAATGACAAACACAATGACAGACCCACAGAATGAAACTTGTTTAGAATCAGTTTAAAATAAAATATGCATATGTGAATTCAATTGTTAGTGTATTGTCGAAGTTTTCAGTCTCTCCAGAGGAAGAATATTAGGTAATTAGAATTACTCAACGTACACTAAAAATAATAAAACTTCTCAAAATTGTTTACAAGGCCATAAAGCAGAATAAGCCAAGCCTGATGGGCACCTGGGTAACAGAAATATTCACTACCAATCCACCTTTATTTTAAAATCCTCTGATTTACCAATGTATCCTAAATGCAATAATATGGAATGAACATTTATTGCGGCTCCACTCAAAAATCATCTTAACAAGTTATTCTGTATATATGTATCATGTCTATAAAGAAACATAAGATTAAAGACATTTTTTCATGGTACAATGAAAGTTGATCAGTTTTTCTAATCTTATAACTAGAAAAATAAAGAAACATGCTAGATGACGAGTTAGTGGGTGCAGCACACCAGCATGGCACATGTATACATATGTAACTAACCTGCACATTGTGCACATGTACCCTAAAACTTAAAGTATAATAATAATTTTAAAAAAAGAGAAAAATAAAGAAAAATAAAGCAACAAAGGTGAAAACAAGTTCTAAGAAAGGCAGAAGTCATTACCTGGGGCTACCAGCCTATTCTATTCTGTACCAACTTATTCTCCAAGAGGAATCAAGTATTTAAACTATTTACACATTTCTTTTTCCTAGATTAAAAGCTAAGTACAGAGAAGCAATAAAAAGTTGTGTAAAATGTATGTTTTCAATCACATGAAGGACAAGTCTACTCATTCTGAATGTATTTGAAATAAGCATGAGTCATGCACGCAAAGTCAAAAAATCAATCACAAAATGTTTACTTTTATTGCATAATGTTGTCTAATTTTAATTTCTTCCTTTATATATTGTGTGAGCATGTACATATGAGTGTTTGCACACACATACACACATATATGTATATGTGTGTACAGATATATACAAACACACACTCTTCATTATTTGGCATTTACAGACACACAAACACCTAAAGCATTATGTACTTTGTTGTGCACCTGAGAGCTTACTTAGCAGAAAGCAAATTTTATTTTACATTCAGCCATTAAGATTTGTTATTGTCTTATCATTATTTTTATTAGTTATAATTGTCATGTAAAATAGCTACAATTATACAAATCAGTATTTTTTTTTTGAAATGTGATGATTTTAAGCAATTCTAAGGGCTACATTTTCTTAATTTCAGAATGTAGTTGTGTCCTTTTGAGACTCTTAAGGCATTCAAAGCATATCAGGAACCTAAAATTATATATTTTAATTTATATTTTTTTCAAACGGAATACAGTTATAGCAATTAACTATTACCTACTTAATTGTAGTTTATCTACCTTACATAAAGATGGTGAGAATGAACACTTTTGCAATAATCTGAAGTGTCTAAAGTAGTTGAACTCCATGAGGAAAGCTCTCTCTGTAATATTCTTCAAGAGCCAGTCGTGTTATTAAACAGATAAGCCTGGGTTAAAAATACAACAGCACAAGATTCTAATGTTGAGTCTATTACTAGATTACTAGAATGCAAGGTGATTTTAAGCAAGCCACTTAACTTCTCTTTTCCTTGGTTTCTTGATCTTCTTTTTTTTTTTTTTTTTTGGAGACAGAGTCTCGCTCTGTCGCCCAGGCTGGAGTGCAGTGGCACCATCTCGGCTCACTGCAAGCTCCACCTCCCGGGTTCATGCCATTCTCCTGCCTCAGCCTCCTGGGACTACAGGCGCCCGCCATCACACCCGGCTAACGTTTTGTATTTTTAATAGAGATGGGGTTTCACCGTGTTAGCCAGGATGGTCTCGATCTCCTGACCTCGTGCTCGACCCGCCTCGGCCTCCCAAAGTGCTGGGATTACAGGCGTGAGCCACCGCGCCTGGCCTGTTTCTTGATGTTCTTTAGAAATGGTGTTATGGAATATTCTTTTTACCTAATTCCCATGGTTGTAATATTAACACTCAAATCGTAGACTAGACTCCGCTGTCAGAATTGCTTGAGGTTAAAATATTGTGAAGTTTTGAGAATGGATGCTCAATCCAACTGGATCCAATTGTGAAAGAAACTTAGATCTGAATTCCCAAATATTCTGTCTCTATAGAGAAAAGTTCATGCCTTACATTCTTCAGCAGTTATTTTAAGGATCCAATGGAATAACTAGTTTTATAGTTCCAAGGGTTCTTCTGAGATCATTTCAATACTCTTTTGCTTCATTATGCTGTCTCTTCAAACTCATAATTGAGCTTGAGAGTAGTCAACTAAAATCTTCAAATAATTTCTGAATGTAAACTGCTAAGTACACCATTTTGAATCCTTTCAACGAAGATCATACATTGACCTTTATAAAACTTATGTTAACTATATTTGATCTATCATTCCAGCCTGCCAATATTTGGGGGATCTTGATTCCACCATTATCTATAGCTCCATCTAGGCTCCAGAATATGAAAGACGACTTATTTTTTTCCTTGAATTTTTCATGAAATCTATAATGTCTACTTCAAAAGCTCTGTCCAATCTATCTCTTCCTTCATTACCTCTTCTACTGTCCTAGTTCAGCAGTTAGTTTAATTACCTCTCCTTTTTGCCTAAAAATCACCAACTGGGCCAGGCGCAGTGGCTCACACCTGTAATCCCAGCACTTTGGGAGGCCGAGGCGGATGAATCTCCTGAGCTCAGGAGTTCGAGACCAGCCTGGCCAACATGGTGAAACCCCATCTGTACTAAAAATACAAAAATTAGCTGGGTGTGGTGGTCGGTACCTGTAATCCCAGCTACTTGGGAGGCTGAGACAGGAGAATCACTTGAACCCGGGAGGTGGAGGTTGCAGTGAGCTGAGACCACGCCACTGCACTCCAGCCTCGGTGACAAGAGTGAGACTATTTCTAAAAAAAAAAAAAAAAAAAGTCACCAATTGGGTCCCTCTTCTCTAGAGCAGAGGTCAGCAAATAATAGTCTGTAGGCCAAATCTTGCCTACCTTTATTTGTAAATACAGTTTTATTGGAATGCTGCCACAACCTTTTGTTTATTTTGTGGCTGATTTCACACTATAATGGCAAAGTTGAATAGTTGCAACAGAGACCACAAGGCTGGCAAAGCCTACAGATATTTACTATCTAACCGTCTCTAGAAACAGTTTGTCAATCACTCCCCTATAGGTTATTTCCAAACCTCTTAGCATGACACTGGAATGTCTTTATGGTCTGATTCCAAACTCACTCTAACATCTTCTACCATCAATTCCTTCTCTTGGTTCCCCATGATCTTTCCTATCTGCCTATACTTACTCATATCATTTTCTCTGTCTGGAATGCCTTTCCCCAATTTCACCTCCAAACAACCAAACCCTAACCATATAGCAAGGTCCTTAAAAAAAAATGGTATTCATAAATGGTGAAAAACAATACATCATAAGTGCTCACGTTTTATTCTAATTTTAAATTATTACTACTATTTGGGGGTTTTTTGGTTATTGTTTTTTGAGACGGAGTCTCATTCTGACACCAAGATTATAGTACAGTGGCACAATCTCGACTCACTGCAACCTCTGTCTCCCAGGCTCAGGCTATCCTCCCACCTCTGCCTCTTGAGTAGCTGGGACTACAGGTGTGCGCCACTATGCCTGGCCAAGTTTTTTGTTTGCTTGTTTGTTTGTTTGTGTTTTGTAGAGATAAGGTCTCACTCTATTGCCCAAGCTGGTCTTGAAGTCCTGGGTTCAAGCAATCTGCCTATCTCAGCCTCCCAAACTGCCGGGATTACAGGTGTGACCAACACACCTGGCCTATTACTGCTATTTGATATATTTATTCTTCGGACCCACTTTGATAACTTCAGCACTGCACTAATATATATTAAGAATTGTTAAAAGTATTCATCCACCAGTGGTTTAGACAGCACACAGGAGCAAGGACTCCTTAAATATAAAAATATGATGTAATTGTCAATCAGATTATCCCAGTGTGTTGGTGACTTCCTAAAAGTAAGCTAGTCATTTTGCAATTTCACATCATAAGGTGCCATTTTATTAATGACAGTAGCATTTTACATAATGGTTCACTTGTCATCATAAATAATTCATATTATTCTCTTAAAATGAATGTTATATGTAATTTTGGTTCATAAAAATTATTTCCTATAAGCCAAACCAAAGCACAGTCAGTGGCCAACATGGTGAAACCCTTCTCTACTAAAAATACAACAATTAGCCAGGCATGGTGGCCCGTACCTGTAGTCCGAGCTACTCAGGAGGCTGATGCAGGAGAAGCACTTGAACCTGGGGATCGGAGGTTGCACTGAGCTGAGATTGCACCACTGCACTCCAGCCTGAGTGGCAGAGCAACACTCCATCTCAAAAAATAAAATAAAATCAAAATAAAAACACACTTGAATATATATGTGTGTGTGTATATATATATGTATATGGGATACATATATACCCCATATATATGTATATCCCATATACGTATACCCCATATATATGTATATCCCATATACGTATACCCATATATATGTATATCCCATATACGTATACCCCATATATATGTATATCCCATATACGTATACCCCATATATATGTATATCCCATATACGTATACCCCATATATATGTATATCCCATATACGTATACCCCATATATATGTATATCCCATATACGTATACCCCATATATATGTATATCCCATATACGTATACCCCATATATATGTGTATCCCATATACGTATACCCCATATATATGTATAGCCCATATACGTATACCCCATATATATGTATATCCCATATACGTATACCCCATATATATGTATATCCCATATACGTATACCCCATATATATGTATATCCCATATACGTATACCCCATATATATGTATATCCCATATACGTATACCCCATATATATGTATATCCCATATACGTATACCCCATATATATGTATATCCCATATACGTATACCCCATATATATGTATATCCCATATACGTATACCCCATATATATGTATATCCCATATACGTATACCCCATATATATGTATATCCCATATACGTATACCCCATATATATGTATATCCCATATACGTATACCCCATATATATGTATATCCCATATACGTATACCCCATATATATGTATATCCCATATACGTATACCCCATATATATGTATATCCCATATACGTATACCCCATATACATATACGTATATCCCATATACATATATGTATATCCCATATATGTATATATACATATATATAAACACACACACACAGGATATATATATATATACACACACAGGATATATATATATATACAGACACAGGATATTTATATATACACACACAGGATATATATATGGGATATACGTATATGGGTGATACATATATATGGGATATACGTATATGGGTTATACATATATGGGATACACGTATATGGGTTATACATATATATGGGATACTCGTATATGGTTTATACATGTATATGGGATACTCGTATATGGGATATACGTATGTATATGGGATACACGTATATGGGATATACATATGTATATGGGATACACGTATATGGGATATACGTGTATATGGGATACACGTATGTATATGGGATATACACGTATACGGGATATACGTGTATATGGGATATACACGTATACGGGATATACGTGTATATGGGATATACACGTATACGGGATATACGTGTATATGGGATATACACGTATACGGGATATACACGTATATGGGATATACACGTATACGGATATACGTGTATATGGGATATACACGTATACGGGATATACGTGTATATGGGATATACACGTATACGGGATATACGTGTATATGGGATATACACGTATATGGGATATACGTGTATATGGGATATACGTGTATATGGGATATACGTGTATATGGGATATACGTATATGGGATATACGTGTATATGGCATATGTGTATATGGGATATACGTGTATATATATGGGATTATATATATCCCTTCCTACTTGACAAACGCATTGCTTAGATGGGTTAAGATTCTTCACCAAACATTTCTCTTATTCTAGAAGTAATTTAGAAATTAAGGGAAAGAGTCCAATTATT
Source organism: Homo sapiens (assembly GCF_000001405.40). Classification (NCBI taxonomy): domain Eukaryota; kingdom Metazoa; phylum Chordata; class Mammalia; order Primates; family Hominidae; genus Homo; species Homo sapiens. Next base: position 71,735,778 of record NC_000013.11, read on the forward strand.
TTTACTTCCCATAAGGTAATCCATTTCAAAATTTTACCTGTTTTATTATAATTAATCTATTTTTATAACACAACAGAGTAGAAATTTGTCTTAGATAATGACAAGGATTTGAACCAGATTGTGGCAGTCGGTAAAATCAAAGGCACCCTGCATGGCATTTTTGGCAGCTGCAAATGATTGCTGGCTATTTCACACCTCACTTTTTCTTAAAAGGTCATATAAAATGCATTAAAAATCTATCTCCATGATACTAGCTACCAAAATATACTGAGCTGTGTACAGAGAGTATGGAAAATGCCAGCAGAGTGGTAGAGGTATGCATGGATTTTCTAGACATCAACCCCAAGCAATAGGAAAGAGTTTTGAAGGACCAGAGTCTATGAAAATAGCTTTTGTTCAAAGTGACCAAAGAGTAATAATTATTGAAAACAAATCTCAAAGTTAAGAGGACACATATAGTCTAGGCTGTTTGTGATTCACCTTAGAATAGATTACCATGATGTGCCATCACATATCAGATTCATTCAAAAATTTATTAAGGACTTTTTACGTATACTGCAGCATACCTTCACTAAAGTACTAAAGCATAATGACAAAGGCCTTGAACATATGGGCAATTTTATTGAGAAAACCAAAAAGACACCTGATAAAGCATAGTAACAGCTTAAGGAAAAAAGGTAAATATCTTAAAAAGGAATACAGATTTTAAAATATATATATAAATATAAAAGTGTGTGATTGCTGAAAGACAAATGGAATGGGGCCCGATATACTTGAAAGGGTTGGATGGCAGAAATGAAAAAGTGAAAGCACTCTAATATATTCAAAGTGCACTGCTATTTTTTTTCCCGTAAGAAAGAGGGAGTCAAATCAATATGAATGCTTACCCTTTTATTCAATAGTTAACCCAGAAGTATAAAAACAATAGACAATCACAGCAATAGGATTAGAGCAGTAATAGTGTGTTTTCTTAATCGATCTGATGTATATGAGTACATGCATCTATTTGATAAATAGTTATGGAACTTTCATAATCTATAATGTATTAAATACCATGTGCTCAGCTCTGTAGTAAACAAAGGAATCAGACACAGATCCTGTCTTCTTAGAGAGTAAATAGAATATAAAACATCTTTATGGAAAACCATAACACCATATACAATCTGATAAATGACACTTTAAAGTTGAAGATTATAGATGTGGTGGCTCACGCCTATAATCCCAGCTCTTTGGCAGGCTGAGGTGGGCGGATGACTAGAGGTCAGGAGTTCAAGCCCAGCCTGGCCAACATGGTGAAACCCCGTCTCTACTAAAAATACAAAAATTAGCCAGCTACTTGGGAGGCTGAGGCAGAAGAATCGCTTGAACCCGAGAGGCAGAGGCTGCAGTGAGCTAAGATCACGCCTTTGCACTCCAACCTGGGCGACAGAACAAGACTCCGTCTCAAAAAAAAGAAAAAAAAAGTTGAAGGGAAAAAGCTATGGGAGTTCAGAAGAGAGAACTAGGCGTTGTGCAAAACCATGAAGATAGTTTTGGAGCAGGTAGCCTTTGAGGGAACTCTGGAACACAAATGGAACTTGGAATTCGAGACTTGGGGTAAGGGAAGGAGGGATTTGGCAGAAAAAGTACCCTCCCCACATAGGGACAAACAACAGCCAAAGCACTAAAGCCACAGAACATACAATATTTATGAAAAACAGCAGTAGTTTAGTTGATGAAGGCATCTTTAAAATGGAGAAGAATGCAATCAATCTGGAAATAGTTTGGAAACCATACTAAGCCTTAAATTTTAAAAAGTTAGATTGACTTATTTTATAATCAATCAGTAACTACTGAAGGTTTTTGGAGGAGAGGGTTCTTTTTGCTGTTGTTGATGTATAGTTTGGCTTCAAACATAAATGGAAAGTCTGTGGGCAAGGAAATCATTTAGAAGATTCATTTGTCCTAAAGTCTATCATGTCCCAAACTACATCAGCAATATTATAAACTAGAGGCAATAGGAATGGTGAAGTTGAGAGAAAATGAAGTTATAATCAACAATGTTTAATAGCTTATAAAATGCAAGGATTCAGGGAGCAAAGTCTCTATTAAAAATGACTAAAAATATGAAAGCCTGGTTAGCTGAAACAAAAGAGATCCTGCTGGAAACAAGATGAGTAACGCTGAAAGTGAAGATAAGCTCAGTTTTTAATATATTTTGGTGGTGGTGGAATTTATATGTGAAGTTCTTCAGTAATGGGACAAATACTAGTAGTTCCGAGGAGAAAAACGGACATATATTTGGAAGTCATCTGCACGGAAGTAATCATTCAAAGCACGAGTTATTTGATATTTTAAGAAAGAGAACCTCAAGTATTCTTGCATACTTGCAGGGTTTGATAAATTTTCATCAGTAAGAGTAGCTCCCCATGGAAGTGATTCTTAAATAGGAGTTCCCCTCCACCAATAGAGAGTAGCAAATCTCAGTCTTGAGAAATATAGGTAAAACAAGGTGTACTTGGGGCAGGGTGAGTGAGGAGAGAGGGGAATTTTGTCCCATACTTTTTCCAATACTCGATAAACAATTCCATGGTGAAAAAGATACATTTACAATATTAATTGAGAAATAAAATTCAGGGAAAAAGAGATCAGGATGGAAACAAGCAAAATGAAAATTTAAAAGACAGAAAACTGTCTGCGTGAGGTGGCTCAAGCCTATAATCCCAGCACCTTGGGAGGCCGAGGTGGGAGGATCATGAGGTCAGGAGTTCAAGACCAGCCTGACCAATATTATGGTGAAACCCCATCTCTACTGAAAATAACAAATTGGCCAGGCATGGTGGCACCTGCCTGTAATCCCAGCTACTCAGGAGGCTGAGGCAGGAGAGTTGCTTGAACCGGGGAGGCAGAGGTTGCAATGAGCCAAAATTGTGCCATTGCACTCCAGTCTGGGCAACAGAGCGAGACTCTGTCTCAAAAAAAAAAAAAAAAAAAAAAAAAAAAAAGACAGAAAACTATCAAATGCTCAAGAAAAAAAAACAGAAAGGAAAAGAGAATAAGGACTGAGATGATCTGGCAATGAAGAAGTTGCAGGTTACTTTAATGGGGAATTGAGAAAGTTAATAAATTTTTATGGAAGACAATGTACAAGAAGTTGTAGTCTACATTGGACACAGGAAGAAACGCGAATCAACAACTATTATGAGAAATTGGCAGCCAGGCACGGTGGCTTACTCCTGTAATCCCAGCACTTTGGAAGGCCGAGGCGGGCGGATCACCTGAGGTCAGGAGTTCAAGACCAGCCTGGCCAACATGGTGAAACCCCATCTCTGCTAAAAATACAAAAATTAGCTGCCGTAGTGGTGAATGCCTGTAATCCTAGCTACGTGGGAAGCTGAGGCAGGAGAATCTCTTGGACCTAGGAGGTGGAGGTTGTGGTGAGCCGAGATCGCGCCATTGCATTCCAGCCTGGGTGACAAGAGTGAAACTATGTCTCAATTCAAAAAAAAGAAAAAAAGAAATTGGCCAATGAAAAGAAGTGATGGAATCATGGTTCGAGGCACCAACAATATTTAAGGAAGATGAGCTTGTGTGTAGAATAGCACTGTTCAATAGAAATATAATGAAAACCCCATATAAAATTGTAAGCATCTTTAAAAAATTGAAATTAAAGAGATGAAAGTAATTTAACAATATATTTTACTTAATGTATTCAAGTTATTATGTTTCAATAAGTAACCCACATGAAAATTATTGAGAAATTTTACATTCTTTTTTCCTATTATCTTATTTAAAGTTGTCAAGTACTTTACACTTAAAGACTGTCAGTTTGCACTATCTACCTTTCAGGTGCTCAAGAGCCACAGGTGGGTAGCAGCCACTGTCCTGGACAAGACAGCTCTAGAAATAGAGCTAGGAACCTGAAGTGGTTTTTGCAGCTGTTACTTGACTGCTAAGTTTGGTTAGCTGGCCAGTAAGAAGTGGTACACATGTATTTATTTTCTCTATTTTTTATCATCAAGTACAAATAGAAAAATATGAAGGCATTTGAATTAAGAATCATAGAATGCTGTTACAAATTTTCTTTGTAACTAAGCAAGAATAATTCTTTGAAATGGGAATTTAAACTAAAACACTTTGAAGCTAATAACGTGAGCTTTTAAAGACACACTGTAAAAGTTAAAAGTAGAAAACATTTCCAGGATTTCTAAAGTAAAAGACACAATATAAACACAGGACTAAAATTGGTTTAAGAATTTCAAAACCATTCCTCATGAAATCATAATTATATCAACTTGTACAAATAAAAGGTCAAGAACTTTCCAAATAATTGCATCCAGACATTGTCTCGTTAACTAGAATCCCACACGCAAAAGTAGTTCAACAACTGTTGGATTTATCCTTTGCTCACTCTATTTTCTCAAGACTGATGAAGACAGCTAAATCGCACATCTGGCATATCTTCTTCAAGCTATTTTCTACTACCTACATCAAATAAAATGAATTCCAAATACTTCACTCTTTACAAGTCAATTAAAGAAGAATTCACTCTAAAACAAAACAAAAAAAAAATTACATGATTTCAAGAACTCTTTCCTTTAACAAGTATTTTTCTTTAAAAAGTATGTCCCTATTTTTATTGACAATTTGAAACCAACTAAACATGAAGCACAGGGAATTAAAAGACATCTTAGAAAGCAGATAATGTTTTAAATTTAAAGATCACATAGAAATCAAACCTTGGCCTATGTTCTTTAAAACTCCTCAGTAATATATTGATTTATTTATATTTCAAGTGATTGTGCTTCAAAGAAAAAAATTGTTTATGTTAAGACAGTTCAAATTGGAGGATCAACTGTCAGAGTTAAAGCATAAGGTAAAGGTAGCAACAGTCATAAAGCTGAATAAGATATTGCATGTGCTACTGCCTGGGGTGTGGGTGTATTTAATATCTCATAGCAGTTACTTCCCAGTACATAATGTATTATTTTAAGTGAAAAGTTACAAGAATCACTTTATTTTGAACATGTTATCACATGATGATATGATGTATAATATGTTGTCATTTTTCATACTGAAAACATAGATTATAACATAGATTTGAATATTCTCCTAAACATTTTTTTAAAATTATGTTAAAATGGAAGCCATCTACCTACCTTTTAGCCTTGACACTTTATTTTGGCCTTGACAGATAAAGCGAAGACTTTTTACTTTGTATCACTGAAGATAACATGAAATGGCCCACATCAGCCCAGTAGCAATATACTCTCAAGATAAAACAGTAAATTATTAGTTTTCTAAAGAAAAACTAGTAGTAATTGTTATAACTCTCCTCTTAACTCTACAATGCTGTTTTTATCTTTCCATTTTCTTAGAAGTAACTTGCTATGTACATATCATCTTCCCACCCAAGTTCAAACAGTTTCTTGAAATATTACTCATGGCGTATTTGGCAAAATTTCCATTGCAAAGTACCAAGCACATGGAAGTCATTCAATAATTGACTTTTTAATTTTGATTATTGGGAAAAGAGAAGAAAAGAAAAATGCCCACAAGGAAATGCCTTATCAGATACTGCTAAGTAAGGACAGGCTGGCATAAAAACATTGATCAAACAAGAACTTTGTTCGTCTTATTGTTTTTCCAGGAATGGAGCTCAACTCTACTTCATTATGGTTAA